>NC_000002.12:89530679-89685992 GCF_000001405.40 Homo sapiens | reverse complement strand
GATCTCTGTCCTTGAGAAAATTACTTAACATCTTTCTAAGTTTCCTTACCTGTAAATGAGTGGTGACATATATGGAACGTAGAACAAGAGCCAAGCAAGTATTCAATAAAAGCTAATGTTGTTGCCTACTGTTTATTCTCAGTGTTTGGCATAGTAGCCGGCAAAAGGAAGAGGAATTTTTTTTTCTTTTTTCAGAGAGTCTCCCCCTGTCACCCAGGCTGGAGTGCAGTGGTGTGATGTTGGCTCACTGCAACCTCTGTCTCTTGGGTTCAAGCGATTCTTGTGCCTCAGCCCCCTGAGTAGCTGGGATTACAGGCCTTTGCCACCACACCCAGCTAACTTTTTGTATTTTTAGTAGAGATGGAGCTTTGCTATGTTGGCCAGGCTGGTCTTGAACTCATGTCCTCAAGTGATCCCCCCGCTTTGGCCTGCCAAAGTGTTGGGATTATAGGCGTGAGCCATTGGGCCCAGCCTGGAAATATTTTTTTGAAACATGACAGATAACAATATTTTTTGAAAGAATGACAGATACCAATCATGAAGGAACAGATTTTCACAATTGAAAATAAAAAACTTTAACTTCTGAATGGTAAAAAGAGTGAGAAAATTAAAAGCCAAATTACAAATTGAAAAAACTAAAGTATATAAAACAAAGGTTTTCATTCTCAATTTAATGCAGAATCTTGACAAATCAAAAAGAACAAAAGGTGAACCCACATAAAAGAAATAGGCAAAAAACTTTCAAGAAAAGCAATTTACAAAATGCCAATGACTAATAAACATGGATATTTAACAACACTAATATTCAAAGTACTTCATTTATAGAGATCCCTCCTTCACCTATCAAATTAGCAAAGATGAAAAAGGTTAGTAATACCAAGTTTTGAAGAGAGGTGAGAGGAAATGACAAGTTTATGTGCCCTGGTAGGACATGATATTGTGGCAATGTGTTTCAGAACACTCATAAATGTATATACCTTTTAGATCAACAATTACACTTTTAAGCTTAAGAAAATATGAAGATTAGGTACAAATATTTCTCTGTATGTTCAACTAAGTATTATTTTTCTAATTAAAAAAATTTTTTTTGAGACAGAGTCTCGCTCTGTTGCCCAGGCTGGATAGCTCACTACAGCCTCCGCCTCCTGGGTTCAAGTGATTCTTCTGCTTCAGCCTCCTGAGTAGCTGGGATTACAGATGCCCACCACCATGCCCGGCTAAGTTTTGTATTTTTAGTGGAGATGGGGTTTCACCATGTTGGTTGGCCAGGCTGGTCTTGAACTCCTGACTTCAAGTGATCCGCCCTTCTTGGCCTCCCAAAGTGCTGGGATTATAGGTGTGAGCCACCATGCCTGGCCAATTTTTTAATTTAAAAAATATTTTTATAGCAGCACAACTAAGTATTATTTTAATAGTAAATATTGGAGTTAACTTTAATTTTGAACAGGATAAGAAATCATGATGCAGCACACTGAATACTCTTTCACTAAGCTAAACAACTATTAAAAATGATATACAAATACATTTACTGAAAAGAAACATGTTTGTGATATACAGTTAAGTGTAAAACAATTCAGGTTATAAGAACATATTAGGCCGGGTGTGATGGCTCACGCCTGTAATACCAGCACTTTGGGAGGCCGAGGCAGGCGGATCACGAGGTCAGGAGAACAAGACCATCCTGGCTAACACGGTGAAACCCTGGCTCTACTAAAAATACAAAAAAAATTAGCCGGGCGTGGTGGCGGGCGCCTGTATTCCCAACTACTTGGGAGGTTGAGGCAGGAGAATGGCATGAACCCGGGAGGCAGAGCATGCAGTGAGCCGAGATTCTGCCACTGCCCTCCAACCTGGGTGACAGAGCAAGATTCCGCCTCAAAATAAATAAATAAATAAAAGAACATATTGGTCAATATTCACTGATTTTTATAAGAATATTTGACAGAGAGAGAGGGGTAAGGGAAGGGAAGGGGGAGGAGAGGGGAAGGGAAGGGAAGGGAAGAAGGGAAGGGGAGGGAATGGAATATGGGTGGATTTATATCAAAAGGTTCAGAAGGAAATGATTCTTTTCTCCTGGATGTGACTATTGCAGATTTTATTTTTAACTTTTCCTCTTTTTCTTATTTATTTATATTTTCTTATTTTAAGAGAAACTATAAAACTATATATTACTTTTCAACTTAAAAATAGTTTAGCGCTTCAATAATACAGAAGACTCAAACATTGCAGATAATTAAAGCATTACTTAATGTGGAAATGTTTAGTTTCACAATTTCTCTAGTAATATTCAAGACCAGATATCAACTTGGGAATCAGAACTGGTGCAGGATCTTGTCCTAACACAACCAAAAAGGCATATGGCTGTCCCAGCTCTGTATGTTTATGTTGTCTTATAATACAGCAACCAGTTTTTTATTAGGATGGCCAAAAAGGCACATTTCAAAAATGCCTATTAAAATATTAGTAGTACATATAATACTGCTGCTTAATTTTTTCTAATGAGAACTGATAAAATTCAAAAGCAACATAAGCAGATAAATAGTAATAATATGGTTTATCAAATTAATTGTCACATGATTATTAAAGTGAGATCATGTGTGTTAAGTAGTGGTATCTTAGGCCACTGAAATATCTTCCTTGGTCTGGAATGAGCTTCTATGGAGATTAAAAAGATGTTAAATTGAACAGTCTTGGTTAATAAATGAAGAAGCAAAGCCAGAAACCCTGTTTAAAGAACTAACAAAAAAGGTCATGAATGATCTGGTGGTTGTTATATTTTCTTGTTTACCCGAGGAGAAGACTATGCTCAAGCATGTATTGAATCCAGTGAGAGCCAGAATGTCATCCATACTGCTAGCAGCCATTAGTAAGGTTGGAATGTCTTTCTCAACACCATATCCATTTTCTTGCAACACCATCGTGTAAAGGACAACAACAGCAGGAGAGACAGCACCTAGAACAAAATTGAAAGAAAGAATGAAAATTAATTTAAAAGCATATTTTTAATCAAGTAGTGTTTTATAAGTACAAGTAGTTTATAATAAATTTATAACAAACATTGTTTAGAAGAATTTCAAATTTGAGTGAATGCAATTTAATGGTGATAAAACTTTTCATGCATTGTTTAGTGCTGGCTAAAATTTTATACAGACATGGTTTAAAATGTTGGGCTGAGCACAGGTTGCAGCCTCTCCCTCTATTCCTAAATCCTTTGAAGTGAAGATGTAAAGGTAATAGAAAAATTCATAACCTAACTAGAAAGCAAAAGGTGAATCAATGGACAAGAAACTAAGTATATGCCAGAAAGATAAGAGACAGACAATTTAGCATTGAAAAAAGGAAACCATAAACCAAAATGTGTGTAAATAAGATTGCCTCAAAAGATACATGTGCTTCTAAAAGTGGTCCAAGCCCTGAAATGACAGATGCTGGGAGCAGGGGAGACCTCTGGGGAAACCAAATAGTTGATTATTTGGAGTACCACTGTAAGAATGGTCAGACAAATCTACCTTCCACACATTTCCTAGCTCTTGAATAAATAAGTAAGTAAGGAAGGAAGGAACAGAGCTGTCTGCCCAAAAAAACAAGTGTGGCCACCTAAGTTACAAAGGCAAATGAGAACATTTCTGGAGTGGTTGGTGACGCCCATGAGGAATGGGGTGGCTCCTGCTCAGAATACCTTCTATTGGCATATCTTATCCAAAATTTCACCTCATCTCTTCTACATTTACTTTACAAAGCGTGAAGTATATCCTGTGTAGAACTGCTTTTGGTGCTTCTGCCAGAATCCATTTACCAGGTCAATGAACACATCTCCCAGTGCTTCTTGTTGGCTGCTAATATCTGCAGGTTTCTAAAACCCTTGTCCTGCTGACAAGCACCTACCTGGGAATACTAGGGAGGTTGTGCACCCCTCTACTTTTCCTCCAGACAGCATCTGTCAATGACGGACTGATGTGAGAATTGCTTCTGGCTGTACAACTCTATGGCGCAGTTTATGCTACAGATTTCCCTGTGGGCTCAAGAAGAGACTAGACTTCTCTAAGACCATGTACTGGTCTGGCTCAGTGGTTCCTGAACTCTGCTGAACATTGTAATCACCTGTTGTATTATTTTTCTCATTTTGCTTAACAAGTCATCCCTAAACATAGCAGCTTAAAACAACAAATATTTATTGTCTTATGACTTCTGTGGGTCAGGAATCTGGGCATGGCTTAGCTGTATGCCTTGACTTAAGATTTCCCATGAGGTAGGGTGGGGTGGAGAAGATCTGCTTCCAAGTTTACTCATGTAGCCATTGCAGGCTTCAGTTTTTTCCAGTGGGGTTTTCTCCACAGGGCTGCCTCAGGACATGGCAGCTGGCTTCCCCAGGAATAAGTGATCAAAGAGAATTTAATCCACAATATCAATTAAAAACACAAAGTATCTAAGAACAAAACTGTGAAGACAGTCTATATTTTTATAAAAACTGTGAATATAATAATATAATAATTAAGATAATAGCTGAATACTTAGAGAGACATGTCACAAGTTTGAACTAAAAAGCCCCAATTTTACCATCGCCCAACACCACACCTGGCTAGTTTTTGTGTTTTTAGTAGATACGGTGTTTCACCATTTTGGACAGGCTGGTCTTGAACTCCTGACCCCAAGTGATATGCCTGCCTTGGCCTCCCAAAATGCTGGAATTATAGGTGTGAGCCACCACGCCCGGCCAAAGCCTCAATAATATAAAGATGTAATCTCTCCCCCAAATGAATTAATCAGAGATACACCAATCAAAATCTTTGCAGGGATTTTTACTGAGCTTGACAATCTGATTATAAAATTCATTTGGAAGAATAAGATCTTAGAATGAAAGATCAAGTAAACTTAAGAAAACAAGATGCTGTTTTTGTAAAGGTAAAATAGTTAAAACTGAATAATAGTGACATACAAATAGGCAAAATAAATTGGAAGAAAAGAGAATACAAAGTGTGGAAACAAATCTATGGGATTTGTTACATCATACAATTGGTATTTTAAATCAGTGGGAGAAAGAAAGAAATCGTTCACAAATGGTGTTGAGATAACTATTTATGTGGAAAGGAATATAGATAGATCCTTACACATAATAAATATTAAAAGCTCAAAAGGAAAAGTAGTAATAAGAAAATGTAGTGGGCTAGGCCTGATGGCTCACACCTGTAATCCCAGCACTTTGGGAGGCTGAGGCGGACAGATCAGGAATCTGAGACCAGCCTGGCCAACATGGCGAAACCAATAGCTGGGTGCAGTGGTGCATGCCTGTAGTCCAGCTACTTGGGAGGTTGAGGCAGGAGAATCACTTGAACCTGGGAGGTGGAGGGTGTAGTGAGCTGAGATCATGCCACTGCACTACAGCCTGGGTGACAACAAGACTCTGAACAACAAAAAAAAAGATGTAGAATAATATATTTGTGATCATGAGGTAAAAAGGACCTTTTGAATGATACATACAAAGGCATTAGACATAAAAAGAGATTTTGATACATTCAATTATATTAAAGTAGTACTTCAAAAGCAACTTCAAAAGTACTATAATAAAGTACTACTTCAGAAACAATTCTGCTCTTTCTCCCCCTTTTTCTTTTTCATTTTCAAAATCAAGTGAACGGTGTTGTGTATTGGCAATTCTGTCTGTTGAAAATAACAAAATACACTTCTTAGAGTGAAAAAAATCATCACAAACAAAATTAAATATCTACTGATATTTGCAATACATATAATTTACAAATGCATATAACAGATATAATTAATAAAGAAGACCAACTCAACAAAAAAATGGACAAAGGATATGAACAGGCTAGTTACAGATAAGGAAAAGCTGAAGGATAACACATATATAAAAGATATTCAAGCTTGTGAATAATCACAGAAATGCAAATTAAAATAACAAAAATATGCCATTTTTTCAATTATCAGATTGGAAAACATTATAAAATTTAATAATATCAAGGATTTGCAAGGATTTTCAAGAACAACAGGTATGCCGATAGGCTATTCGTATTAGGGCAAATTATAGTGGCCATACCGAAAGGATTATGGCAGTATACATCAAACTAAAAATGCATGTAACCCAGGTAACTATTCTAGACAAACTTATATTTATGTAAAAGGAGACAAATAAAATGCTATTTTTGTTATAAAATTGTAAATAAAATCTGCTGTTGACATACAATGTAATCTTATACAATTAAAAGGAATAAACTACATGTGTATCCATCTTGAGATGGATAAACCTCAAGACTATTGTTGAGTGAAAAGAACAAATTGTAAAGTAAAAGTTTCTTGGGTATAATTAAGTAGAAATGCACAAAATAATACTCTTTTTTTCTCTGCGTTCACAAATACATTTGTTAGAAGTCCAGAACATTATTTTTAAAGATCTAGAATGATAACATAAAACTCATGAAGATGCTGCCACTCTGTCTCCAGCGGCACATGAGTGCACCCCACAGCACCATTGCTCCGGCTGGCAGGTGCAAGTATGCAGAACACCCCCATCCCACTCCTGCCGGCACTGCACCCCTGCCAACACAGGCATACCTGCTGTGTGCTGCTGCTGCTGACACATATGTGTGAGTGGGGACCTTGCTACCAATCACTACAATGAAGCACTTTGGCTGGCACACCCCATCACAGTGTTGTTGCCAGTGGACTGGGAACACCTCAGTGCTTAACATTGAAGGGCCAGACAACAAATATGTGGGTATGGTACCAGCCTTGCAAAGTTAGAGCATGCAGTTCAGGAGTGCTGAGCTGAGCCTTTGCCCCCTGAAATCTTCCAGAAATGAAGTCATTTGACTGAAACTACCTTGTGCCACAGTCAAACCCTCAAGGGCATTAAAGAATATAAAAAAGGAAAAAACTCCATCCAAAGGACAGTAATTCAAAACCTTAAAGGAACCTTAGCCCACACAGATGTGAAAGAACCAGTGCAAGAACTCTGGCAATGTAAAAAGCCAGAATGTCTTCCTGTCTTCAAGCAATCATACTAACTCTCCAACAATGGTTGTTAACCAGGATTAAATGACAGACATAGATTTCAGAATCTGGATAGAAACAAAGGTCATTGAGATTCAGAAGAAAGTCAAAATCCAATCCAAATAATCTAAGGAATCCAATAAGATGACATAAGAGCTGAAAGATGAAATAAGCATTTTAAGAAAGAACCAAACTAAACTGATAGAGCTGAAAAATGCACCTCAAGAATTTCATAATACAATAACAAGTACTAACAGCAGAACGGACCAAGCTGAGGAAAGAATCTCAGATCTCAAAGACCACTTCTTTGAATCAACTCAGTCAGATGAAAATAAAGAACAAAAAAGAATGAACAAAACCTCTGAGAAATCTGAGATTATGTAAAGAGACCAACCATATGACTCAAGGCATCACTCAAAGAAAGGGAGAAAGAACAAGCAAGTTGGGAAACATATTTGAGGATACTGCCCACAAAAATTTCCCAAATCTTTCTAAAGAAGTCACCATTTAAATCCAGGAAATGCAGAGAATCCTGTGAGATACTATACAAGATGACCATCCCCAAGACAGACGGTCATCAGATTCTCCAAGGTCAACATGAAATAAAAAAATATGAAAGGCAGCTAAAGTGAAGGGGCAGGTCACATACAAAGAGAATCCCATCGGGCAGGTCACATACAAAGAGAATCCCATCAGGCTAACAGTGGAACTACAAGATACTGTACAATCCAAAAGAAACTGGGGGCCTATATTCAGCATTCTTTTTTTTTTTTTCCGAGATGGAGTCTCACTCTGTTGCCCAGGCTGGAGTGCACTGGTGCTATCTCGGCTCACTGCAACCTCCACTTCCCGGGTTCAAGCAATTCTTCTCCCTCAGCCTCCCAAGTAGCTGGGACTACAGGTGCACACCACAACACCCAGCAATTTTTTATAATTTTAGTAGAGACAGGATTTCACCATATTGGCCAGGGTGGTCTCAAATTCCTGACCTCATGATCTGCCCTCGTCAGCCTCTCAAAGTGCTGGGGTTACAGGTGTGAGCCACCACACCCAGCCTTCAGCATTCTTAAAAAAAAAAAATACTTGGCCGGGTGTGGTGGCTCATGCCTGTAATCCCAGCACTTTGGGAGGCTGAGGAGGGCGGAACACAAGGTCAAGAGATCAAGACCATCCTGGCCAACATGGTGAAACCTCATCTCTAATAAAAATACAAAAATTAGCTGGGCATGGTGGTGTGTGTCTGTAGTCCCAGCTACTCGGGAGGCTGAGGCAAGAGAATCACTTAATCCAGGAGGTGGAGGTTGCAGTGAGCCGAGATAGCACCACTGCACTCCAGCCTGGGGACAGAGCAAGACTCTGTCACAAAAAAAAAAAAAAAAAATTCAACCAAGAACTTAATATCCAGCCAAACTAAAGTTCATATGTGAAGGAGAAGTAAGATCCTTTTCAGACAAACAAATGCTAACGGAATCTGTTACCACCAGACATGCCTTACAAGAGGTCCTTAAGGGAGTGCTAAGCGTGGAAGTGAAAGACTGTTAATGGCCACCACAAAAATACATTTAAGTACATAGACCATTGACGTTGTAAAGTAACTACACAATCAAGTCTGCATAATAACCAGCTAACAACATAATGGCAGGACCAAAGCTGTAAATACCAATATTAACTGTGAATGTAAACAGTATAAATGCCCCGCTTAAAACTCACAGAATGGCAAGTTGGATAAAGAAGCAAAGCCCAACTCTATCTGTTGTCAAGAGACCCAGCTCATATGCAACAATACCCATTGGCTTGAAGTAAAAGGATGGAAAAAAATCTACCAAGCAAATGCAAAACAAAAAAGGGTAAGCATTGTTATTCTAATTCAGACAAAATAGACTTTAAACCAACAACAATCAAAAAGACAAAGAAGGGCACTACATAATGATAAAGGATTCAATTCAACAAGAAGACTTAACTGTCGGAAATATAAATGTGCTCAAAACTGGAGCATTCACATTCGTAAAACAAGTTCATAGAGACCTATAGAGAGACTTAGATAACCACAGAATAATAGTGGGAGACTTCAACATCTCACTGACGGTACTACACAGATCATATAGACAGAAAATGAACAAAGATATTCAGGAATTGAAGTCAACACTTGGCTAAGTGGACCTAACAGCCATCTACAGAACACTCCACCCAACAACAGAATATATCTTCCTCTCATCTGTACATGGCATATATTGTAAAATTGATCACACTATCAGTCTAAAATTATTTTATTAAAAGAAACCCCTGAAATCATGCCAACCACACTCTTGGACCGCTCAGTGTAACAAAAATAGTAGTCAACACTAAGAAGAACTCGGAAAACCATACAATTACATGGAAATTAAACAACCTGTGCCTGAATGACTTTTAGGTAAACAATGAAATTAAGGCAGAAACCAATAAATTCTTTGAAACTAATTAAAACAAAGATACAACATTCTAGGCTCTCTAAGACACAGGCAAAGCAGTGTTAAGGGAAAAGATTATCATGCTAAATGCCCATATTGAAAAGTTAGAAGGATCTTAAATTAACAACCTAATATCATACCTAAAGGAAATAGAAAAACAAGAGGAAACAAACCCAAAGCTAGCAGAAGAAAATAAATAACCAAAATCAGAGCAGAATGGAATGAAATTGAGTCATGAAAAGCCATACAAAAGATAAATGAAACTAAAAGCTGGTTCTTCGAAAGAATAAATAAATTTGATAGGTCACTAGCTATACCAATAAGAAAAAAAAAAGAGAAGATACAAAAAACACAATCAGAAATGGTAAAGTGGACATTACTGCCAACCACACAGAAATACAAAAAACTCTCAGAGACTATGATGAACATGTTTATGCAAACAAAGTAGAACACCTACAAGAAATGGGTAAATTTCTGGAAACATACAACCTCCCAAGATTGAATTAGGAAGAAATTGAAATCCTGAACAAACCAAAAATGAGTTCTGAAATTGAATGAGTAATAAAAAGTCTCTGAGCCAAAAAAAAAAAAAAAAAAAAAAGCAAGCCTAGGACCCAACAGATTCACAGACAAATTCTACCGGAAGTGTAAAGAAGAGCTGGTACCAATGCTACTGAAATTATTCCAAAAAAATGAGGACGAAGGATCCCTCCCTAACTCATTTAATGAGGTCAGCATCATTCAGATATGAAAACCTGGCAGAGACACAACAAAAAAGAAAACTTCAGGACAGTTATCACTGATGATCATAGATGCAAAAATCCTCAACAAAATACAAGCCAACTGAATCCAGCAGCATATCAAAAAGCTAGTCCACTATGATCAAGTGAGCTTTATCACTGGGATACAAGTTTGGTTCAAGATATACAAACCAATAAATGTGATTAATCATAAAATAGAACTAAAAATAAAAACATCCATTCATGATATAAACCCTCAACAAATGAGTTACTGAAGGAACATACCTCAAAATAATTGGAGCCTTTTATGACAAACCCACAGCCAACTTCATACTGAATGGGAAAAAGCTGGAATATTCCCTTTGAGAACTGGAACAAGACAAGGATGCCCACTCTCACTACTCCTATTCAAGGTAATGCTGGATGTCCTAGCCAGTGCAATTCGGCAAGAGAAAGAAACACAGACATCTAAATAGGAAGAATGGAAGTCAAACTATGCCTCTTCATAGGTGAAACACTTTTATACCAAGAAAACCCCATAGTAGCCTCTCGAGAGCTCTCAGATCTGACAAATGACTTCAGCAAAGTTTCAGGATACAAAAATCAATGTACAAAAATCTGTAACATTTCTGTACACCAACAACCTCCAAGCTGACAGCCAAATCAAGAATGCAATCCCATTCACAGTAGCCACAAAAAAAACTACAAAATACCTTGTAATACAGCTAAGCAGGGAGGTGAAAAATCTCTAAAATTAAAATTACAAACGAGTGCTCAAAGAATCAGGGACAACAGAAACAAAAGGAAAACATTCCATGATCACAGATAAAAAGAAGCAATATTGTTAAAATGGCCATACTGTCTAAGGCTATTTACAGAGTCAATGCTATTCCTATCATACCATCAATGACATTTTTCACAGGATTAAAAAAAAAGCATTCTAAAATTCATTTGGAGCCAAAAAAAAAAAAAAAAGCCCGAATAGCCAAAGCAATCCTAAGCAAAAAGAACAAAGTCGAAAGTGTCACACTACCTGACTTCGAACTGTACTACAATGCTACAGTAAGCAAAACAGCATGGTTATGCTCAGCAAAAGAAATAATCAGCAGAGTAAAAAGACAACCTATAGAGTGGGAGAAAATCTTTACAAACTATGCATCCAGCAAAGTACTAATATCCAGAATCTATAAGGAACTCAAAAACAGACACAGACCAGTGGAACAGGTTACAGAACGCAGAAATAAAGCCGCACAGTTTTAGCCATCTACTCTTCAACAAACTTGACAAAAACAAGCAATGGGGAAGGGAATCCCTACTTGGAAATTGTGCTGGGATAACTGGCTAGCCGTATGCAGAAAATTGAAACTGGATTCCATACGTTTCACCATTTACAAAAATCAACTCAAGGTAGATTAAAGACTTAAATGTAAAACCCAAAACTATAAAAACCCTGGAAGATAGCCTAAGAAATACCATTCTGGATACAGGCCATTCTGGACATATCCGAGGAAATTTCAATTCTGGAAAACACATTATGACAAAAATGCCAAAAACAATTGCAACAAAAACAAAAATTGACAAATGGGACCTAGTTAAACTAAAGGGCTTCTGCACAGCAAAAGAAATCATCAACAAACAACCTATGGAATGGGATAAAATATTTGCAAACCATGCATTCGACAAAAGTCTAATATCCAGAATCCAAAAAGAACTTAGAAAAATCAACAAGCAAAAATCTAACAACCCCATTAAATGGGCAAAGGACAGGACAAGACAATTCTCAAAAGAAGACAAACACGTAGTCAACAAGTATACGGAAAAATATTCAACATCACTAATCATTAGAGAAATTCAAAACAAAAGTGCAATGAGAGATAACCTCACAGGAGGCAGAATGGCTATTATTAAAAAGTCAAAAAGTAATAGATGTTGGCGAGCTTGGGGAGCTACTCCCAGGTCTTTGGAAGGCTGAGGCATGAGAATTGCTAGAATCTGGGAGGCAGAGGTTGCAGTGAGCTGAGATTGGGCCATTGCACTCTAGCCTGGGCAACAGAGCAAGACTCCATCTCAAAAAAAAAAATATAGAAAGAGAAAGAAAGAGAAACCCACAGCCAACATTACACTGAATGGGGAAAAGTTGAAAGCATTCCCCCAAGAACTGGAACAAGACAAGGATGCCCACTTTCACCACTTCTATTCAACATAGTACTGGAAGTCCTAGCCAGAGCAATCAGACAAGAGAAAGAAATAAAGGGCATCTAAATCAGTAAAGAGGAAGTCAAACTGTTGCTGTTCCTGATGATATGATCATATAATGAGAAAACCCTAAAGACTCATCCAAAAAGCTCCTAGATTTGATAAATGAATTCAGTAACGTTTCAGGATACAACATCAATGTACACAAATCAGTAGCACTGGTATACACTGACAGTGACTGAGCTGAGAATTAAATCAAGATCTCAACTCCTTTTACAACAGCTACGAAAAAACCAAAACAAACAAACAAACAAAACCAAAGAAAAAACCCCAAGCAAACCAACTTAGGAATATACCTAACCAAGGAGGTGAAAGACCTCTACAGTGAAAACTACAAAACACTGCAGAAAGAAATCATAGATGACACAAACAAATAGAAACACATCACATGCTCATGGATAGGTAGAATCAATATTGTGAAAATGACCATACTGCCAAAAGCAATCTACATCATCATTCTTCCTCAAACTAGAAAAAGCAATCCTAAAATTCATGTGGAACCCAAAAATAGCCCGCATAACCAAAGCAAGACTAAGCAAAAAGAACAAATGTGGATGCATCACATTGCTTGACTTCAAGCTATACTATAAGGCTATAGTCACCAAAGCAGCATAATACTGGTATAAAAATAGGCACATAGACTAATGGAACCGAATAGAGAACCGAGAAATAAAGCCAAATACTTAAGCCAACTGATCTTTAACAAAGGAAACAAAAACATAAAGTTGGGAAAGGACATCATATTCAACAAATGGTGCTGGGATAATTGGCAAGCCATATGTAGAAGAATGAAACTGCATCCTCATCTCTCACCTCATACAAAAATCAACTCAAGATGGATCAAAGACTTAAATCTAACACCTAAAACTATAAAAATTCTAGAAGGTAACATTGGAAATACCCTTCTAGACATTTGCTTAGGCGAAGACTTCACGACCAAGAACCCAAAAGCAAAGGCAACAAAAACAAAGATAAATAGATGGGACTTAATTAAACTAAGAAGCTTCTACACAGCAAAAGAAATAATGAGCAGAGTAAAAAGACAACCTATAGAGTGGGAGAAAATCTTTACAAACTATGCATCCAACAAAGTACTAATATCCAGAATCTATAAGGAACTCAAACAAATCAGCAAGAAAAAAACAAATTATCCTATCAAAAAGTGTGCTAAGGACATGAATAGACACTTCCCAAAAGAAGATATAAATGGCCAAGAAACATGAAAAAATCCTCAATATCACTAATTATCAGGGAAATGCAAACAAAACTACAATGTGATACCATCTCACTCCTCCAAGAATAGCCATAATCAAAAAATTAAAAAAAATAGATGTTGCCATGGGTGTGGTAAAAAGGGAACACTTTTACACTGCTGGGGGGAATGTAAACTAGTACAACCACTATGGAAAAGAGTATGAAGATTTCTTAAATAATTAAAAGTAGATCCACCATTTCATCTAGCAATCCCACTACTGGGTATCTACCCAGAGGAAAAGAAGTCATTATATGAAAAAAACACTTGCACACACGTTTACTGCAGCACAATTTGCAATTGTGAAAGATATGGAACTAGCTCAAATGCCCATCAATCAATGAATGCATAGAGAAAATGTGGTGTATATATATGTGTATATACACACACACATGTGTATATACGTATATACGTGTATACACACACACGTGTATATACGTGTATACACACACACGTGTATATACGTGTATACACACACACGTGTATATACGTGTATACACACACACGTGTATATACGTGTATACACACACACGTGTATATACGTGTATATACACATACATGTGTGTATATATGTGTATGTGTGTATATATACACACACACAGACCATGGACGGAATACTACTCAGCTATAAAAAGGAATGAAATAATGGCATTCACAGCAGCCTGGAAGGAGTCGGACACCATTATTCTAAGTGAAGTAATTCAGGAATGAAAAAACCAAACATTGTATGTTCTGACTTATAAGTGGGAGTTATGCTGTGAGGATGCAAAAGCAGAAGAATGATACAATGGACTTTGGGGACTTAGGGGGAAGAGTAGGAGGAGGGTGAGGGATAAAAGACTACACCTTGGGTGCAGTGTACACTGCTCTGGTGATGGGTGCACCAAAATCTCAGAAATTACCACTAAAAATATTTTCCATGTAAACAAACACCACCTGTTCCTTAAAAACTAATGAAAAAAAATAAAAAGACATGAGATCAACCTAAATGCCCATCAATGGTGAACTGGATAAAGAAAATGTGTCACATATACACCATAGAATAATACACAGCCATAAGAAAGAACGAGATCATGTCCTTTGGAGCAACGTGGATGGAGTTGAGGCCATTATGCAAAGTGAATTAACGCAGAAACAGGAAACCAAATATCCCATATTCTCACTTATAAGTGGGAGCTAAACACTGAGTACACATGGACAGAAAGAAGGGAACAATCGTCACTAGGTGAATTTGAGGGTGGAGGGTGGAAGGAGGGGGAGAATAGAAAAACTACCTATTGGGTATTACACTTACAACCTGGGTGACAAAATAATCTGCATACCAAACCCCTGTGACATGCAATTTATCCATATAACAAGCCTGCTCATGTACCCCTTGAGCCAAAATAAAAATTGGAGAAGAAAAAAACTCCTAAGAGTTGTCACTTTGGGTAGAGTTATGGGCATTATGATTTGAAGGCATAGTTTAAGGTCATTCCTCCTTTATTTATAAAGTTCTAATTTTTAAAATAAAAGTGCCTTTGAGCATTTTATCATAAACATTAGTTTAAAAATTCACTGGATTTTGTAGTAACTATGTAATGGATGAACTTTGCTATGAGTGTCACTGGAATGGATAAGCAGAGACAAAAGTTGCTGAATTAAGAAATGAAAAGGAGTTAGGATCTAGAGACAGTAGTTATAGACTTATTTTGAGGAATTCAAACATAAGACAAACGGATGGTAGATAAAGATGGATGGGGCATTGGATATACGGCAAGAGTTTTTGTTTGCTTGCTTTCTTTAAAATGGGAGAGTTTATATTTATACACCTATGTCTATATAAAATGTTTCTCAAATATATATATATATACACATACATATATACGAAATGTGCAACTGTATTTACATATAGCTATCAGGAAGAGGCCATTAGATAGATTAAAACATACAGATATGTTATAATACAGATGAAAAGGAATAAATTGATCACGTCAATTTTCTTGATGATAAACATTTAGGGGCTAGGAATGTTTGTTAAAAAAATTTCGTGCAATTTGGGACATGCTCTGCTTTTAATCAACTGCTTTCCAAGGATTTTAACACTGTGAAATGAATTTTAATAGAGCTTTTCTATACAATATTCTGAATATTTTAACAGTTTTAACCAAGCATCCTTAATTGAATATTTTCTTAAGAAAAAATGAGAAAGAAATTACCCTAATAGAATTGCCCATTGCCAGGGAAATTTCATAATGAAGTGGGAAGAAACAGCAGCTGCACTTGCCTCCATAAGGCATGGACCTACAGCCAATCTGAAACAAACCACCTTCAAATGCCTCCAAGCCTGAAACACAAAACAGTCACATTTGATACATTTACAATGGCCAACAAGAAAATTATTTTAACAAATGTTGGACTATAAAGTCTTTTTTCCTAAGAAGCTTTCACTAAACAAAATCTCATTTCAACAGATTGTCCCACTGGACTTCGAACTCTATTATATTTTATGTGTCATCATAGGTTGGATTATAAACAATTTCTTCTTTCATAAAATATTATTGTATTTTAATTATTAAAAGATCAATTTTACTGTGATTAAATAGCTAATGCTACCTTCCTGAACTTTCCTAATACATAGTATAATAATAGTGTCCTAGTAGTGTTTTCCCATTAACTTTTTGATATGAACTGTTTGATTAACTTAGTAAGTATAAATACAATACTAACATGCCAAAGAAACTAACTTAAAAATTGCATAATTCTTTTAAAAGGGAGAACTTTTCAATTTTCTCCTTGGTTCATACTTTCTACTGGAGAATATAATCTCATTGGCTGTAATTATTTATGCTCTTGAGCTATTTCTATTAAACCACATTTGCCACATTTATTTGAGTGGCTGTCATATTCATGAATAGTCATCTTCTTATAGATGGGATTTATGATCCCTGGGATGTAATACTTTAAGAAATGCTTTAAAAGATTAGATTTTACAATAATACAAAGATAATCAGGAACATAATCCTGTAGAGAAACCGTCATAAAAAATTACTGAAATCCTTAATCTCCCTAAAAAAAGAAAAAGAATTGTATAAGGTTTTTCTTATAAAAGCTTTGTTTTTTTGTTTTGTTTTTTTGAGATGGAGTCTCACTCTGTCCCCCAGGCTGGATTGCAGTGGCACTATCTCAGCTCACTGCAACCTCTGTCACTCAGATTCAAGCGATTCTCTTGCCTCAGCCTCCCGAGTAGCTGGGATTACCAGGTAAATGCCACCATGCCCGGCTAATTTTTGTAGATTACGGGCGTGAGCCATCATGCCTGGCCTTTTTTTCTTTATCTTAGGGTTGTTTACAGACTCCACTTGGAACAGGTAAATGAAATTTTTCTTCTTTTTCTTTCTCACCATCCTCTAATATTTGAAATAACCTTACTCGATTTGTAATTGTAAATCTACCTGTGGATCGAGTCCAAGCCCAGCTCGTATTAGAATAATGTTAAGGGTAATGCTTCTTAAAATTGAAGACCATGCGTTAGGAACATGGACATGTTCACTGATGAATGGAACATTCCTAATTGTAAAACCAGCCAGTTACATCCCTTAAAAGAAACAAAATAAACATACATGACAGTTCATTTTTCTGAGAAAGAAAACAGAAATATTTACTTTATTTTCTAATGCACTATGTCCCTCATTATTTTGGTAAAGGGCAGGTTACAAGCAAGTAGAGAAGGCAGCATGAATAAAGGAATGGCGATAAGAAACAATACACCTAAATGGGGTTCAACAAGTAATTTAGCGTTGCTGGAACATACAGGGCAAGGAAAGGAGGGAGGAGAATGAGCTTGGTGGGACAGATCATAGAAAGGTCTCCCCCCACTTTGGCAAAGTAAGGCACCATGGGAAGGTTTTAGGCAGGAAGTAACATAATGAGTCTTGCGATTTTTATATGAGGGTCTTGGTGAATTAGTTAGGGACAAAACTGGAGACAGAGACCAAATTGAAGGCTCTGCCACAGTCCACGCAAAAGTTGGAAACAAATAGCCTAAGCTAGAGCAAAAGAGAAAGTTTGGAGAGGAGGAAAATGATTCAATAAATACTTAGAAGGTGCTGCAAGAAAACTGTGGATACAGAAGGGACAGCAGAGATAAGATGTAGAGATTATCTCTACTGACAATGTACCGAATATATATTTATTTTTGGGGACAGGGTCTCATTCTGTTGCCCACGGTGAGTGCAGTGATGCAAACATGGCTCACTGTAGGCTTAACCTCCTGAGCTCAAGTGATCCTCTTGCCTTAGCCTCCTGAGTAGCTGAGACCCAGAAAAATTTTTAATATTTTGTAAAGACAAGGTCTGCTATGTTGCCCAGGCTGGTTTTGAACTCCTGGGCTCAGGTGATCCTCCTGCCTTGGCCTCTCAAAGTGCTGGGATTATGGGCATGGGCCACCATGCCTGGCCCACTGTACTGAATATTTAGATATATTTGAATAGAGTAAGTTCTCACTTAACATCGTCGATAGGTGATTGGAAATGGCAACTTTGAGTAAAATGGTATATAACAAAACCAATTTTAGCATAGGATAAATGATATAAACAAGAGTCAATTTCCTACAGCATATTTCTGGTCACAAAACATCACCAAACTTCTAAATAAAGATCCAAAACACTTCTAGTATTAAACAATGAAATAAATGTGAGCTCTACATACATTTTACAAAGTTTTATAAAAACAAATAAGATAATTCTTTACTTAATTTTTGGTGAATCCACGAGTGATGGTGGTTATAGCAGTGATGGTTAAAATCAAAGAATAAATGTTTACAAAGTGAAAATTGTAAGGAGCACCTCCTCCCACTATGCAGTTCAAAAACAAACACAAATATGGTAGGCTGGCTGAGACTTTTCATATCACATTGTTTATTGTCTTGCATTTGTATGGTTATCATATACTTAACAAAATTTTATTCTACAATAATTTATATGCATTCATTTATTCATTGTACAATCCACTAGTTCAGGGTCATTGTACAATCCACTAGAATACTAGTTCAGGATCAAAGGTGACTGAAACTTAATCCAAAAAATCAAGGAGGGACTCCCTCCCTAACACATTCTATGAATCTAGTATCACAATTATACCCAAATCAGGCAAAGCCATACACACACACACACACACACACACACACACACACACACACACACTACTGGTCAATATCCCTGTTGAACATAGATGCAAAAATTCTCAACCAGCAAAATGAATTCAATAGTACATCAAAAAGATAATATAGTTAAGTGGGTTTTACTCCAGAAATACAAGGATGGTTCAACATGTGAATCATTCTTCCATAAAGACATATACACACATACGTTCATTGTGGCACTATTCACAATAAAAAGACATGGAATCAACTTAAATGACTAAATAAAGAAAATATGGTACATATACACCATGGAATACTATGCAGTCATAAAAAAGAATGGCATCATGTCCTTCGCAGCAACATGGATAGAGCTGAACACCATTATCCTAAGTGAAATAACTCAGAAACAGAAAACTCAAATACCACATGTTCTCACTTATATGTGGGAGCTAAACAATAGTTACATATGGACATAAAGATGGAACTAATAGACACTGAGGAGTCCAAAAGGAGAGAGGTTTGGAGGGTTAAGGTTGAAAAATTACCTATTGGGTATAGTATTCACTGTTTGGTGATGGGTTCACTAGAGCCCAAATCTCACCATTATGCAATATATCCATGTACCAAACCTGCACATGTACTCCATGAATCTAAAATTTTTAAAGATTCTATTAAACAATAAAGCAACAGGAATAATGTACTAAGGATATTAAATTTATTTTAAAAATAAATTTTGGATAAAACTTGTGTGTGTATATATGTAGACAGAGAGAGAAATAAATGCCCCTATAAAGGAGCTGTACACACACACACACACACACACACATACAGTAAATACACACATGAAGAAACTATATAAAACATACTGCAATGAAATATTTCTGAATTATAACTAATTCAACCAGAAAGTGTTCAAAATTTGCATATAGACAATAATAAAGAAAAGAGAGCTAACTATATACTTACCAAGAAGAGGTGGAAGTGGAGGCACTAAAGGTATTCTAATGAGTTGTAAAATTTTTCCCCCAATAATGGCACTATAAAAAATAATTAACAATCCAAATAAATTTCCACCAGGGAGAGCTTCAGAGCCTAAGATTGACCAGGTCATATACCATATCACAAAGAGTGTAACTCCTGAAATACAAAAAAGTGTACAGCTAAATATCTACATACACATAGATGTATACAAACAAAGGATCAATTCTCTTTTATCATATATACTAATAGCCAATTCTATAAAATGATACATGGTATAGATCAACATTGCTTACTGGTGTGGTGAAAGAGATATCTGCTTAACATATATTCCAAATAACCTGTCAATTTATGAAGTAGGTTTTAAACAAAGTGTTTTCACTTTAAAAATATTTAAAAACTATATGTGGGCCAGGTGCAGTGGCTCACGCCTTAATCCCAGCACTTTGGGAGGCTGAGGTGGCTGGATCACATGAGGTCAGGAGTTTGAGACCAGCCTGGCCAACACAGTGAAATCCCGTCTCTACTAAAAATGCAAAAATTAGCCAGGTGTGGTGGTGCGTGCCTGTAATCCCAGCTACATGGGAGGCTGAGTCAGGATAATTGCTTGAACCCAGGAGGTGGAGGTTGCAGTAAGCCAAGGTTGTGCCACTGCACTCCAGCCTGGGTGACAGAGTGAGAATCAGTCTCAATAAAAAAATAAAAAAATAAAAAAAAAACCTATATGTGAACTCTTGAAAATGATAACTTATAATATATGATAGTTAAAAACATCATGGCAATATGATGAGATTTACTTCATTTTATATGTTAAAATAGCTTTTTCATCAGGATGCAAAATAAGAGGATGATTGGCTGTGATAAGAATACACAACCTTATTGAAGATCACAGTGTCAAGGTGCCAAATCTTTTAACAGGAACCTGCTAAATCTTTTTATTGAAAGGATAATTCAACTGATATTTGGCATAAATATATTATAGGAGGTAATGGCGAGAAGAAATGAACCTAGATTTTGTGGGAATAAATATAAAGTATCTTAGATTATGTGTAGGAGGTAGACGGAGATTAAGATGAGTAGGTATAAGTTACTAGACATCTTGTTTCTGGCAACTAGGTGCTACTCACTGAGGAATCCATAGGTTTCTGTAAAGGACAGACAATAACATGGTAAATTTCCATTTGCTAATTAAATGGCTACCTTTATTTGCTATGAATCATAATTGATAATGCTTTTAATATTCTTAAAACAGCTTACATGAATTTTTTAGCTATGACCCCTTTCTGGCTGTACAGAATTTGCCAGGGTAGAAGAGGAGGATTTTGACTCACTCCAGGCAGAAAGTTAGAACAAAGTTTCTTTCCTCTTCCCCTCTGATTATTGTCATCCTGCAAAATTGGAAGCCTTGGAGGGCTAAACTCTTACTACAATAATGGACCAGGCTGGGCATAGTGGCTCACGCGTGTAATCCCAGCACTTTGGGAGGCCAAGGCGGGTGGATCACCTGAGGTCAGGAGTTCAAGATGAGCCTGACCAACACGGTGAAATGCCGTCTCTATTAAAAATACAGACAATTAGCCTGGCCTGGTAGTGCATGCCTGTAATCCCAGCTACTTGGGAGCCTGAGGTAGGAAAATTGCTTGAACCCAGGAGGCGGACATTGCAGTGAGCTGAGATGGCACCACTTCACTCCAGCCTGGGTAACAAGAGCAAAACTCCATCTCAAGAAAACAAAACAAAACAAAACAAAAAAATAAAATAAAAAACACGGACCAGAAAATGTCATCCTACTGACAAATTGAGAAGACAAGGCAGTTTGTCTTGGCTGGTCTCTGTGTGGCAAAGTCTTTTTTGAGAATTCATATGTAAAACTGGCCTCATCCAACTAATGTGTAGGGCTCAAATTACATTATGTGCACAGGTTAGGGATCCCAAAGTTCTAAACCTACCATAAAAGTGTCCGTGCATAGAAGTATCCCTAGAACACTTAGTAGATGCTAATTCAAAAAATCTCTAATAGACACTCCTGATCCCAGACTGCATAAAGTCTCAAAGGTAAAGCCAAGTGAATCTGAACTTAAAATAAGAAGAAATATCCCATAAGCAAAATTAACAGATACAACAAAGAATGGGATTAGATGTCTAAAAACCTCAGCTAATAGAACCACTAGATAGACACTATAAAATATGTATTTTCAAAGGGACTAGAGACAATTTTTAAAAATTGGAGACATGAGAAGAAGAAATTACTTGAAATACAAAATTAGCCAGGCATGGTAGTGCCTGCCTCTAATCCCAGCTACTCGGGAGGCTGAGGCAGGAGAACTGCTTGAACCCGGGAGGTGGAGGTTGCAGTGAGCCCCATTGCACTCCAGCCTGGGCAACAAGAGCGAAACTCCATCACACACACACACACACACACACACACACACACACACACACGAAAAATAAAAGGTCTCCTGCTGGGACACAGACTAGTTAGAGAAAGGAAAAATAAACAAATGATAGTATGTGTATTAATAAAAGAACTAGCAACACCCACTGCTTAGTTGTGATAATAAAAACTGCACATTAAGATAGGCAGAAAAACAGAACAGCCTTGATACGGTTAACCCTTTGACACTGGCAAACACTGTGACCAGTGCTGCCCACACTGGAAGCTCCTGCATCCCTCTTCCTCATGTTCCCTTCAGCATTAAGGAGCAACAAGGGAGACAGCCAGTTCATAGTTCCTTACGCATGGAGCCAAAGGACCTTCAATGTACAAGGTCTGAGCAAGGACCCGCAGCCACATGTGCTTCCTGCTTCAGCAGTGCCCCGTGGGTCTCAGAGCTACCCAAAGGCCTATCCTTCCGAGAGGTTTCTCCTCTCTTCCAACTGATGTCATACGTCTCATCTTCCTTGTCATTCAGATCATCAGCCACAAACGTCCTTGCCTTATATTTTCATATCCCTTTTCACCAGTTACAGGGTTAGTTAACTTATGAAATTCTTAACATCTGCATTAGATCTTTTTAAAGTTTCACCCTCAACCACCTATTATTTAGAAGTGAACACAGAAATTTAGTTTCCTTGTGCTATCTGTTGACCCCTAAAATATGTTGGGAGTTTTGGGATTTTTTTTAAAGTCAAATGCATGGCATAAAGCAAAATTACACTACTAAAGAACTGAGTCAGGCCAGACGCTGGCAACGTGAAGACACCTTCTCCTTACCCACTAGGTTCATCTTTGCACTGTAACTCCCAAAGTATTGCTTATCGGTGCTGGGTGTGTGGCATTCATATTCTCCGGCATCCCGGGCCTGAAGATCTGTGATGTTCAATAGGGTTGGGTTCCCCTGGACTCTTTCTATGAAGATCTTCCCTCCGCGGACGCGCTGGGTGTAGATGGCATAGGGGAAGGAAGGGTCCATGGTGCTGACGATCTGCACCTCTCGCTCTGGCGACGAAGGCAGGTAAATGGACCACTGGAAATTCTGCTCAGGAGGTCCCTGGGAGCCACTCACATTGCACCAGATAGTGATGTGGGAGCCCTCCGTGCGGTACAAGGGTCCTTCCTTAACGGTGACCTGCCGCTGTGCTGACACCACACCTACGAGGGAGAGAAACACACGCAACATGCTCACTTACTTCTCAGACCAAAATGCAAAGTAGGCAGCAATCTCCAAAGGGTTTGTTATTTGTGTGACATGATAACAATATAAACAGCTTACTGGCCCTTTCAAAGGCACTCTGTGATTTATAAATATTAATTAAAACACCCTGTGGTAAAGCACTGTCCCTAATTTGAATATATGGGAATTTGTTCATGCCAAGATGTGCTTTTGTTACTTATTCAACAGCTGACCCTTGGGAATTTCATTTAGCCCCTCTGTTTGTCATGTATATGGCAGTTTATATCTATTTATTAATGCTGTGTATAAAGTTTTTAATAAAATAAGCGGGAAAAGTTGAATCCTTGGCACAAATTCAGATGAAAACAAATAAAAGCGACCATCTAGAAATCTGGCTGAAATTAAATGCTTCTTCCTTGGTCCGAGTGCTGGTGGGAGGGAGTCCTGGGAGCACCTTTTTACTGGTGTTGCACCCTTCATTTTCCCATGTAGCTGCTCCCCAACACCACCCCAAGGAGCATTCCTTCGTTTCTCTTCCCTCCATAAATGGAGGCAGAGCTGAGCTCCTGCAGGCTGCTATCGTTTTAAGCTGAGCACACCCAAATACAAATGTGAAGGGCTGAAACAGATCCCTGATGCCCAGATTCCCACAAACTGACAAAGGGGGGAACTAACAGTGCCCAGCTAAACCTGCGACAAGGACAGTCAGGCTACCCTTGAGTTTCCCACTCAAGACTCCCCCGCTGACCTCCTGCCTTCTGGCTCAGATACTGTTCTCCAAGGTCACTTCTGCCTGCCTTCTGCATGTTCTTCTTAAAGTGGCATGGTGAGTTTAAGTTCTCATTTCATGCCAACTCAACACTGATTGTGCCTGAGCCACTCAGAAGGTGGGAGGGGGCACACCGCTGCCTCTTCATTTCGGCAGTGGTCACGTACTGCAGGGTGTGAAAAGCGCAGGTGAGTTATAGGCGCAGCTTTGCCACCAATTAGAGCTGGTTGTGTCATCTCAGACAACTTACTTTTCTTCTCCAGACCTTGATCTTCTCATCTATCACATGATTTCTAAGAAGGCTTTAGAGAGGACTAGCATGGGTTCCGATGCTGGCTTTGTCACTTATTAACTGTGGTCTTGGATAAGCTGCTTAACCTCTCTAAGCCTCAGTTTTCTCATCGGTAAGATGGGGATAATAATGCCTGTCTCATAGGGTTATTGAGAAGATTTAGTAACATCTGTAAAGACCCTAGCACAGAGCCTAGCCCACAATCAGTCCTCAATAAAGAGCTGCTGGCTAAGACATATTTCTGCTGGAATATTCTGTGGCTCTGGATCCATAGAGGACATGATTTGGCCAATGACTGCTTAAGGACATTTCAATGGCCCCTTGACAATGACACCATCACTGGGTTGCCCACCTCATCCCACAGCTGCAGCCCATTCTTGTGATAGCTTCCCTTTTCCCCCACAAATGGGAATGGCGGCTGCCCTGGCTATGCCTATCTGAAGTGGATCCAGCTGGTGAACAGCCGGGACAACTCAAATACTAGTGGAGTGCAGCTCTCTGCCCAGCCCAGCAGGTGACTGTGCCTCAGTGTAAGCTAATCTAATCTGCAAGATGACAGACCTCAAAACAGCCCATACAATGAAATGCCCATGGCTTGCAAAACTTTAATTCATACAGAACCTTTCCTCACAAACAAAATCTTACACAGAACCCCATCTTGGCTTCAGCAGAATCAGGAAAAATAAAAAATTGGCAGGGGAAGGAAATAAACAGAACAAGTGGTATCTGAATTTATTTGATATATTCTGGTTGATGGCATTAATTATGATATTTAAAGTCACCATGAGGACAACTCATTAGTAATATCAGTATGTTAAAATATGGTGCATAACATTTTTACTATATGTATAGTCATGCACTGAATAACATTTCAGTCAATGAGGAAACACATGTGCAACAGTGATCCTGTAAGATTATAATGGAGCATATATAGAGATCTAATAAATGGCACTTAATGTTGGCATGGCAGATCAAGTAGGGGAAATGACTGATATTTAGTAACAGTGCTGGGACATTTGATTTTCCATAATAAAATATATAAATGAAAATATGTATCCCATCTAGGTTTGTTGAAATACACCCTATGATGTTCACACAAGAATGAAATTGCCTAACAACACATTTCTTAAAACATGTCCCCATCATTAAGTGACCCATGACTGTATACACACACACAATGACCTTTGAATCAAATGATTGCAGTATTCCTGAAACACAGAACATTTTGCAAACAATTTACCTACATTCATAACATTAGGTATCCTTTGAATTGCCGTGTTCTATGACAGAGCAACTACAACCAACCCCCATCCATCTCCTGCAAAGAAGGCTGGAGGCAGGTCAGGGTACACCAGCATCTTCAAGGACTGCTTCTCAGTCCTGGACATACACTGGAATCACCTGGGGAGCTTTAAAAAAATAACAGTGCCTGGACCCCACCTGACATAACTGGTCTTAGGATTAATTAGGATTTTTTTTGAAGCTCCACAGATGATTCAAATCAGGTGTAGCAAAGCACTGTTACTTTAAAGTGTCTCTACCTACATGGTGCCAGCCAAGTGCTCAAATGAAATATCTTAAGGCTCTCACTAGCTTTAAGTTTCTCTCTTTGGTAGAGACCCAATCACTGGTTCAAGGAAGTTTCATTCTCCTCCAGTCTTCCCCAGTGCAAAAGAAAAGAGCTGAGACCCATCAGATACTGGCTTTTGTGATGCAATAATGAGTTTAACCAGAATGCATCCTATTTACAGACCTTACAAAGGCACTCGGCCAGCGGATCATGCATGTCCTCCCCACCCAAAGGTAAACAGTGTTAAGTGGCCTGAATGAGCCAGGACAGCAGGGTCAAATCAACTTGTCTAGGCTGGAAGCAGGTTATAAACAATCCAGACAAATAAATAACTACTGGATTGCACTTTAACCACACACATTCAGCTGCACCTGTTTATTAAATACCTCCTTAATTTCCCTCTGCCCCACAAAGGGCTTCTGACCCCTGAAAATAATGCTTCTCAACATAAAAATAATTGTTTTCTTCTTGGCAGTTTAATTCCCCTTCCACACATCCCCCCCCCCATTTCCCTATAATGGTAATACCCTGTTGTGCAGACCTCTGCTGCCTCCAAAGAGACACAGGCACCCAACCCTGACCAGGGCATCCTCTGACCCACAGCCCCTCTATCTCCCCTCTCAACCTACAATAGAAAGTTCCTCCCAGGCAAGGATCATTTTTTTTAAATAACTTTTTAAACTTTAGACATTCTGTACTCTTTGGATTACTCTGCAATAAGCAAATATGACTTCTGTAACATAAAAAGAAAGATCAAAATGTTATATATAACTGCATGAAAAGAACTAGAAAGAAAATACTAGGTGACAGGATGGCAAGTGATTTTTATTTTTTTCTTAATATTTTACTCCTTCCCCCAGTCCTCTGCAATGAGTATGTACCAGTTTTATAACTAGAAAAAAATTTTAGCCAAAAAGAAAAATAATGCATGTTTGCTATATAAAATTCACTACTGTAGTATTTATATATATATACATATTTGGTCTTTGTCCCCAGTTCCTGGCACTGAGCTCCTAAACCCCTTGGAACTTCCTAAGCAATGGGAGTACCTTTTGTTATTTATAAGAAGCCCCTTTTGGCCATCCCAGACTTTATGCTAATGAGGTGAATGAAGGTGAGCATGGAGGCAGTTTCAAGGAAGGAGCTGGCCACGGTTAGAGTTGTGGAGTTTTCAGCCCCACCCTTAGACCTCCAAGGACAAGAGGGGGACCGCAGATTGATCCAATCAGTATTGGTCAGTGATTTGATCAGTCATACCCATGTAATGAAATCCCATATGAAAACCCTAAATAACGGAGTTAGGAGAGCTTCTGGGTGCTGGAAGCGGTGTGCACCAGGAGAGGGCATGGGCAGTCAGCACTACTCCCCTCTCAGACCTTGCCCTATGCACTAAATAGGACTGACCTATGTGACCAATAGGAAATGCACAAATGGTGGAATGTGACTTCCAGGGCTAGGTCATAAAAAGACAAGCACGATGTTATGAGGACATCAAAACAGCCATATGGGGAGGACCGCATGAGGCCTCCTGCCAACAGCTAGCACTAACTTGCTAGCACGTGACTGGAAGTAGATTCTCCAGCCTCAGTCAACTCAGTCAAGCCTTCAGATAATGTCAACCCCAGGCATCTTTTTGTTGTTGTTGAGACAGGGTCTCACTCTGTCACCCAGGCTGGAGTGCAGTGGTGCAATCATAGCTCACTGCAGCCTTGAGCTCTGAGGCTCAAATGATCCTCCTACATCAGCCTCCTGAGTATCTGGGACCACCAGCACACACCACCATGCCTGGCTAACTTTTTTATTTCTTATAGAGATGGGATGATATGGTTGGGGTCTGTGTACCCACCTAAATCTCACATTCAATTATAATCCCCAGTGTTAGAGGTGGGGCCTGGTGGGAGGTGACTGGATCACAGGAATGGATCTTTCATGAATGATTTAGCATCACCCTTTTGGTGCTGTGCTCGTTAGAGTTCTCACAGTATCTAATTGTTTAAAAGTGTGTGGCACCTCCCCCCTCTCTCTCTTGCTCCTGATTTGGCCATGTAAGGCGTGCCTGCTTCCCCTTCACCTTCCACCATGATTGAAAGTTTCCTGTGGTTGCCCCAGAAGCCAAGCAGATGCCAGCATTATGCTCCCTGAACAGCCTGTGGAACTGTGAGACAATTAAACCCCTTTTCTTTATAAATTCTCCAGTCTCATGTATTTATAGCAATGTGAGAACTGACTAATACATAGGGTCTCACTGTGTTGCCCAGGCTGGTCTCAAACTCCTGGGCTCAAGTAATCCTCCTGGCTTTGCTTCCCAGAGTGTAGAGATTACAGGCATGAGCCACTGAACCTGCCCCTTTCCCCCCAACAACATCTTGATTGCAACCTCCTGAGAGACTCTGAGTCAGAAGTATCCAGTTAAGATGTTACTGACTTTCTGAACCACAGAAACTGTGAGATAATAAACATCTATTGTTCCTTTAAGCCTTAAGTTTGGGGCTTTTTTTTTACACCAATATATAACTAATGTAGACACCTGCAGTCCCTAAGATTGAATGCAAAATTGTGTTACATACACATGAGTGTGTTCTTCTGGGAAAAGAGTCCATAAACTTCAAAAGATTCTCAAGGGAATCCAAGACCCAAAAAGATTAAGAAACATTGCATCAGACAATAAATTGTCAATGAGCAAGGTCCTGTCCTTTTAGACTGGGTTTTGAAATCACCCATCCCACAAATATATGATACCACTTAACTAGTTTTTCAAGATATTTGGTTGTTCAAAGATGCTCCCACTTTTTCTTTGTGCTCAAGTCCTAGATAAACCTGGCTAGGGGCAGGAGGTATGATTCAGGAGTTAGTGAGCCTGGAGGGCTCACTGTGCCTGGGAAAGCCAGCTTCTCATGCAATTTTTGGAATATGCCTTGGCTCAGAAACCTACCTCCTCTAGGCACAGGATCCAACTTATATGTTCAAGATGTGTGACTGAGCATGTGAAAGTGTCAGAGGGATCGACCTCACCATTTTACATCTACTTTTCCAGTTGTGGCCCCTACAATCATCAAAACTCATTCAGCACCATGCTCCTCCAAATTCTGCATGTGACTCAGCCACACTAGTATCTTTCTTCATCTATAAGATGAAAGTAATACAATGTACCATGTAGCAAACTCACAGGAGACCCTAGAGATCAAATAATACTGTGAAAGCCACCAAATGAATATTTTAAAATTTTATCTCATTTCTGCCAAGGTGAGATATCAATCTAAAAACAGGATAAATCTTTGTAAGTACAAGAACATTAAAAAGAACATTAAGTTTGGGTTAAAAATGCGAAACTGCATATGCAGGAAAATTACGTTTAAAAAAAAAAAAATCCTACACCTACAAAAACAACCAAACAAAACATTGATGATACTGGGCTGAATCACTGAATGGTGAGAATATGAGTGATTTTCTCCTCTCCTATTTTTCTCAATACCTTTTCTCTATTATCTCCTTTTTTAAATAAGCAAGTATATATTGTTCTAAACTGAAGATAAATGATCATGAGTAGCACTTTCCCAGGCACTGTCCTAGTTGCTCTGCATACATCATCTCATTTAATCCTCACAACAGTGAATGGGGTCGATTTCATTACAGCCGCATTTACCAGTCAAGGAAATGGTTTTCAAGGTTAAGTAACCTTCTCATGACACAGAATGTGACTAAGAGTTTTCTTATTCCATGGCTCACATTAAATGTGCTCTGTGAATATCAGTGAGAAGTAATAAAGCACTGACTGGATCTTCTTGCCCACCTGGTCCTAAAAGAAATGATGGGGAATCTATGCAGTCCCAAGTTAAAAATGGGATCTGAACTGAGCTGCCACAGCATGCTGAATAGGTGGAGTCCAGGCCAACTAAGTGCTTCATGGAACTTAAAGGCTCCAGAGGGAAAGCAATCAGGAAGGCACTTCCACAGGCACATCGGTGACAACTTCTGGGGATTCTTACCTGTCAGCCTTCAGCCAAGGAAGGACAGGAAGTGGCATGGGCTAAAAGATCCTTTGTTTGACCTCTTTCCAGATCAGGTGACAGGAAAACACAACACTTGAACCTTTTCAATGAGGACAGCCAGCACTTACTGAGCCCCAGCCAGGTAACTGACACTGTTCCAAGTACTCTGCTTGTATAACCAGCTTTAACCTTGCAACAGCCCTCTGAGGTAAATACTCCTAGTGACCTCACTTTACGGATGCAGAACCTGAGGCAAGGAGTTAGGGAGTAAATGAAGCTGGCTAAAGACACTTGCACTGGCCAGGCACAGTGGCTCATGCCTGTAATCCGAGTACTTTGTGCTGGCCAACATGGTGAATCCCCAGCTCTACTAAAAATACAAAAATTACCTGGGTGTGGTGGCGCAAACCTATAGTCCCATCTACTTGGGAGGCTGAGGCAGGAGAATCGCTTGAACCCGGGAGCTGGAGGTTGCAGTGAGCCGAGATTGTGCCACAGCACTCCAGCCTGGTGAAAGAGTGAGACTACGTCTCAAAAAAAAAAAAAAAAAAAAAAAAAAAAAAAAAAAAAAAAACCAAAAAACTAAGCATCAGTCAATAAATCAGACAAAGAACAAGTTAAATTCAAAGAAAGAAAAAGGAAAAACATAACAAACAAATGAAATACAAAAGAAACACACAATAGAATCAGCCAAGCTAAAACTTGTGTTTTTTTTTTTTGGTTTTCAGATAGGGTCTCATTCTGTTGCCCAGGCTGGAGTGTAGTGGCTCAATTACAGCTTAGTACAGCCTCCCCCTTACAGGCTCAAGCGATCCTCCCACCTTTGCCTCTCAAAGTGCTGGGATTACAGGTATGAGCCACCATGCCCTGCTAAAACCTGGTTCTTAAAAAATACATTATAAAATTCACAGACCTTTAGCAAGATTTGTCAAGAAAAAGCATTCAAAAAACAATCTTGCACAGGAGGACTGTACTACAGATAGAAAGACTCTGAAAGGAAGTCATAACTTGCAGGCCAAGAACGATGGCTCGCACCTGTAATCCCAGCACTTTGGGAGACTGAAGTGGGAGGAATGCTCAAATTCAGGAGTTTGAGACCAGCCTGGGTAACATGGCAAAACCCCGTCTCTACCAAAAATACAAAAATCAGCTGGGCATGGTGGCACGTGCCTGTGGTCCCAGCTACTTGGGAGGCTGAAGCAAGAGGGTAGCTTGAGCCTGGGAGGTGGAGGCTGCAGTGAGCCATGATTGCACCACTGTACTCCAGCCTGGGCAACAGAGTGAGACCCTGTCTCAAATAAACAAATTCATAATGTAAAATTATGAATACCTTTATGCCAACAGACTTTAAAGCACAGATGACAAATCTTTTTTTTTTTTTTTTTTTTTTTTTGAGACAAGGTCTCATTCTGTCGCTCAGGCTGGAGTGCAGTGGCACAATCACAGCTCACTGCAGTCTCAACCTTCCAGGCTCAAATGATCCTCCCACCTCAGCATCCCAAGTAGCTCACACTACAGGCACCCACCACCACACCAAGCTAATTTTTATTTTTTTTGTAGAGATGGAGTCTCACTATATTGCCCAGGCTGGTCTTGAACTACTGTAGTCAAGTGGTCCTCCCACCTGAGCCTCCCAAAGTGCTGGGATTACAAGCATAAGCCACCATACTTGGTGAGATATGAATTTCTAGGAAAAAAAATCAAAATTGACTCAAAAAGTAGAAAAAAAACTTACATAGATTAAATATATTGAATCAGTAATGAAAAAACTTCCCATAAAGAAATTTCCAGGCCCAAGTGCCTTCACCAAAAAGTTCCGTGAAACATACAAGAGAAACAAACCAACCAACCAAACAAAAAAAAAAAAAACTCTGCCACCAACACAAACAGAGAATAAAAAAAGAAGACTCCCGAGTTCATTTTACAAGGTTAAAATAAAAATAATCTTGATATCAAAACCCAACAAAGCAAGTGCAAGAGAAAGTATTTACAGGCCATCATTATTCAACGTGGATCAGCAATTATTTTTAAGATGTACTGGCCAGGTGTGGTGGTCATGCCTATAATCCTAGTATTTTGGGAGGCCCGAGTGAGAGGATGGCCTGAGCTCAGGAGTTTGAGACCAGCCTGGGCAACAAGGCAAAATCACGTCTTTATAAAAAATACAAAAATTAGCTGGGCATGGCAGCACACCTATAGACCCAACTATTCGGGAGGCTGAGGTGGGAGGATCACTTGAGCCTAGCAGGTTGAGAATGCAGTGATCCTTGATCATGCCACTGTGCTCCAGCCTGGGCAACAGAGTGAGACCCTGTCTCAAAACAACAACAGAAAGATATGCTGACCGCCTGTGATGCTGGCCAGGATGGCGTATGCATGCTACGGCCTGTCATTTCCACTGATCACAATTTGAAACTCTAGACAAAATATAAATAGCAATGACCCAAGTACTCTGAAAAGTAACCAGCAGACAGGTTGGGAAACGTCAAAACCTGAAGAATTATCTGGATGGTGGTGGTGAGAGATCATATTCTGGGTCATAAAACAAACCCTAAAGTTAAACAATTAAAATTCAGTGAATTATTTTCTCTGATGACAGAATTAAACTAGGAATCTAGAACATTTCTAGAACATCCCCAAATATGAGAAGTTAAATGGCGTACTTCTAAATGGCCCATAGGTCAAAGAGAGTATCTTAAGACAAATTGGAAAACAGTTTGAACTTAATAAATATGACATCATCTTACCAAAATATGTGCTTACAGGGCAATTTATAGCACTAAATTATGAGAAATGAAGCATCAAATCAATAATGTAAGCATTTACTTTAAGTAAAAAAAGAACCAAATAAACTCAAATCAGGCATAAGAAAAACAGACTAAATCAGTAATATTTAAACAAAAACAGTAAAGGAAAAAAATTCAACGGAATCCAAAGTTGGTTCTTTGCAAGGGTGGTGGGAGGTGGAAGTCAATCAAATGAGGAAGCCTCTAGCAGACTGACAAAGGAAGAAGAGAAAACACAAATTGCCAATACCAGAAATGAAAGGAATATTATTACAAATCCTGTAGACACTAGAAGGCTAGAATGGACACTACAAAAACAAAACAAACAATTATATGCTTCTAAATTCTACAAATTAGGTGAAATAGATCAATTCCTTGAAAGACAGACTACCGAAACTCAAGAAGAAACAGACAGCTTGAATACCCCTGTATTTATTAAAGAAACAGAAGTGGCACAGCACTTTGGAAGACAATTTGGCAGGTTCTGATAAAGTCAAACGTACATGGACCATGAGACTCGGCAATCCTACCCTTAGGCATTTGCACAAGTGAAATGAAAACCTATGCTCAGACAAAAAGCACTTTGTGAATTCCAATCCACTTATAATTTATCAAAAAGTGAAAATAGTCCATATTCCTCCAATGACAAACCAATAAGCAAACCATGTAGTATTTATACAATGGATTACTATTTGGCAATTAAAAGGAATAACTGTTGATACAGTATATGAAAGTAGCCAGACTCAAAAGGCTACATCCTGAACGATTCCATTTGTATAAAATTCTGAAAAAAAAGCAATGCTAGAGGAACACAGATCAGTTATTGCCAGAAGTTTACAATGGAAGGTTTTATTCTAAAGGGCAAGGTAATTTTTGGAGTGATCATATAATTTTGTAATCTACCAAAAACAAACATAATAAATGGGCAGATAAGTAAAGTTCATGGATTGGAAAGTTCAATATTGCAAAGGTCTCCCAAAAATGACCTATCAATTTAATCCCAGTGGAAATTCCAATCAGTTTTGTGAAGGCTGCTAAGTCAACTCTAAAATGGCCAAGAATAGACAAGATCACCGGAGAGGAAGCAGGGAGGTGGACACAAATATCTTCTGATTGATGAGTGAAATCATTAGAAGGCCAGCAAAAATACAAGTAAGCCAGAATTTCTAAAGCATCACAAAAGAACACTAGTTAGTAGTGCATAAAGGTATCTCCTAAATTTGTTGTAAACATAGGCCTTTAAAAAAATATTAGAAACTGATATTTAAAGAGATATAAACTCATATTAAGCTTTTAAAAAATTCTAAGCAAGGGCCTCACCTAATTTCATAAAAGGTTGCGTAGAACCAACCATTGCTGCAAACGATGTGCTGCCCTGAGATGTGAGGATCCCAGTGGTCCCTCTGGGTCAACAGCAGCTACCGCAGCTGAGCCCAAACTCTGATACATTATCTATCTACAATCATTATTTTTAACAATTTATATCAATGCTACCCATAAGGCACAGAGAAGCAGAAATGTTTATGTGGCCTCCTGCCAAAAACAATCACTTGCACTTATTTCTAGTACTCCAGAAGACAGTAATAGAAGTTTTTCAATTTAGAAAAACATTTACAGCAAAGAAAAAAATCTCTGTAAACTTCCTGCTTAACCAATCTAGTGAATTGTGATGAGCCATATAAATTCATTTAGCCACCTTATGAAAGACTTAATCCAAAGTCACTTCTAACTTCTAGAAGAGCTAATGTATTATAATCACAGTTGTGAAAGACTCAAAGGCCAGAAATGTCAAGGTGTGGTCTATATCCTAAGTCCAGAAAAAAAAACAAAAAGCAACATGTACAGGCCAAATGATTGCCAATTTCTTCTGCCTACGTCATCTTTCTTCACTATAGCCTGAAATTACATTTCATGTTTGACAATTCTCAGCAAGGAGACAAAACAAGCTTATGAGTAAAATAATAGAAAGCAGAGCCACAAAGAGGATGAGAGGCAGGAGTCATCTCCCAAGTCCAAGTTCAACTTCTATATTATTAGACAAGGCCTCAGTGTCTTTGAACTGCAAGGAATTAATATTGATTGTAGCATGAGTAAAACCTATCTTCTACTCATCATGAAAAGTCACAGTCGTTTTGTTTAAAGACTCCAGAATTATTATAGTCAGAAACAAGAAGGTTCCACACCTATTTGGTGAAACGAGGAATCAGGAATGAGCATTCCCAAGAGAATACAATTACAAAAGTAAAATCACCTAGAGTTTTTGGGCTGCTTAAAAAACCCAGAAAGAAGTGCCAAATGAGAAAATAATCAAATTCAGTGGAAAAACTCACTTGAAGGTATGATGGTCAGCTGGGTTTCCACCCCTTTGTTGCACTTCAAATCCTGTGTATTCCACAAAGACTTGCTCCTTTCTAAAGGCTATGGTTCACATTCAACAGAATAGCAGCAACCACCAGGAGCCTGAGGGCTGGCTAGTCTTTAGTATTCTGCCTTATTCAAAGAAAGGATCATTTCCCTCATTCCTAAAGATCTCTCAGGTCCATTACAAAAAAAAAAGGAGCAGCAGCCAGGCGCAGTGGCTCACACCTGTAATCCCAGCACTTTGAGAGGCCAAGGGGGGAGGATCACCTGAGGTCGAGAGTTCAAGACCAGCCTGGCCAACATGATGAAACTAAAAATACAAAAATCAGCCGGGTGTGGTGGTGTGTGCCTGTAATCCCAGCTACTTTGGAGCTGGGTAACTGGCAGAGGTTGAACAATTTGCAGGTCTCAGAAGACAGGAAAATGTGGGAAAGTTTGAAATTCCAAGAGACTTGTTGAATGGCTTTGACCAAAATGCTGATAATGATATGGACAATGAAATCCATGCTGAGGCAGTCTCTGATGGAGATGAGGAACTTGCTGGGAACTGGAGCAAAGGTGACTCTTGTCACCTTTGATAAGATGGTGGTTGAGGAGAGGTCTTGGCAAGCAGTGATGTGTGAATGTAGTGAGGGGCCTGAAAATGGTACTCAGAGAGGACACTGGGTTTTAGAGGCTGAAACTACAGAAAGTCCGCTGCGTTCAAGGCCTGCTTCCACCAAAATCTAGCAGTGTGGCCTCAAACCATTTCACTTCTCTTGGCCTCAGTTTCTACATCTGCAAAATGGGATTTATAATCCCACCCCAGCCCACAGAATTCAGAGTTATATGAGAAGGCCAGAAGAGCTCACCTACCAAGGGACTCTTTTAATGGCAAGGTGGGGAAACTGAGGCACCGAGAGGGCTAGGGTTCTGCTAGCTGTCACCCAGAGTCTGATGGACCTGCGATGAGAAACCAGAACTCCTGCCCCTAGTTCCCCCGGCTTTCCTCAGGCTGGGGAGTGAGTGCGGTGAGATAGAAAGGGCAAGCCCTCCTGCTGTTTCTCTCTGGACAGGGGCGGGATGCTGAGTGAAGGGTGAAAGGAAGAGGCTGGAGAAGGGAGAAAAGCTCCAGCTCACACTAAGTCTGAAATTTTTTAAAATGCGGACTCCGTGGCCCCTCCCTTACCCGCCCCAATCCTCTCTGAAGTCCTGGTTGTGAGGGGCCAAGTCCCAAAGTCTGCTGCTCCGCCTCTCTGTGTGCAGAGCCATGGGGCCTTCACAGGCTGCAGTGGGTCCCGAGCCCCCAGGCTGTGCCTGCTGGTCCTGACCAAGATCGCGGCTGCCGAGGTCAGTCCAGCGCCAAGGGAACAGGGCCAGGGCAGGCGGGGCAGGGCTACCCGAAGCGCATAGAGGCTGCTGGTGTCAACGTGACGTCTTCTGGGGCGCCTGGCATCCCTAGGAGTGGAAGCCGCTGATGAAGTCAAAGCTGCCTCCTCCTTCAGGAAGACTTTGCTCCCATAGCTGGCGAACAGGAAGCGGAGCAGCGCCAGGAGGATCTGCGGGCGCTGCTGAGGGCTTCTTTGCAGGGACAGTGCAGCAGGCAGCCAGGGACAAGACTGCACGGCAGCCCCCCATGGCCAGGGGAAGCTCAGAACCGGAGTCGCCCGCTGCCCGGCGATTCTCCATCCCTGGATCGGTACAGGGGCATTTGGACGCTGTGGGGAAGTCGCGGTCTGGGGATATTGGGTCCAGCCTTCGGGTAGAAGCAGGTGATAAACGCACTCAGGGCAGCCCGGAGCGTCAGCCACACTGCGGTGCCCACGATGCCCAGGGTGAGCGCCACGAGGCGCAGGAAATTGGCTAGGGTGGGAGCTCACTGGTAGGCGGCCCTGGAAGTCAAAGATCTGCTGCTCCAGCGCTGCCACCAGTTGCAGGCAGCAGAAGGCGAGGAGCGTGTGGCACCCGCGTACTCGCCCATCGCTCCGCGGACCTCTTTATCCAACCTTCAATGATTATTCTTTTTATTATATTCAATGATTATTCTACTTTTCATAGAGAGCAGCTGTCAGTCCAATAACACACTTAACAAATGATATACCTAGTCCTCAAGGTTAACAAACACATGAAGACCAGCCCAACCCTGAAAATCAGTTTGCAAACCTTCGCTATATCTGATGCCATTCCTAAAAATTTTTAGGGACAAGTTTTGTTTGTGGTAAACAACAAAGGTGGGGTGTGTGCTGAGCCCAAAGCTGATCAATTGCTCACAATTACTCATAACTACCCATTGACTTGATTTTATCAAACTTCAGACAGTCTTGTCTCCTCTCCTCAGGCCCCTGGACCTTGGCTCACCACCTAAGACTGAACAAGCACTAAAGGACAGACCAGCCCGCTAACAGCTCACTCCAAAAATGAGCGGGACTCCCAGAGAAACTATTTTTATTGGAGCATCCTGGTTTTGCCACCTGCTCACCCCACTGCCTGTCCTTCTCTCCAAGGAGGCTTCTGCCAGCCCTGCTTGTCCTTCCCTAGAAAAGGAAAGCCTTTTCCTGTTTGATCCTGAGACACCTGTAGATTGAGTTTGGAATATTCTCCCTATTGCAATAGTATTTTTGAATAAGTTTTATTTTTCCCTACCTCTGGTTGATTTTTAATTAATACCAGCAAGCTTGGATGAAAGCCTGCACACCTTAGGGGTGTGTGTGTGTGTGTGTGTGTGTGTGTGTATGTATGTATGTACTTTAGCATTACCATGAAAGTAATAACAGTAAAATCAAACAAACACAGATGGATAAGCAATATGTTGGACTAGTATGAAAATGGCATTGCCAGCAGTGACATGATTTTTTTTCAAAATGGTACACTTTTTGAAGTATAATCTTATTTTAACCTAAAATCTTACTATCAGAAAATGCAGTGTACATTAAAATGTTCTGAACTGCTTTTATTCATATATTAAATGGTTGTACTCAAATATCTACAAATTTGTTTTTCACTTATGTGATTGTCTTATAGAATGTCCAAAAGTCTTGCAGAATGTGAGACAATTTTCTATTGAATATGATTGCTTTATCATTGCAAGACATCAAACATCCCTGTTTCCTGCCAAATAAATGTACAATAGCAATAAATGTAAAGATGTGTTTTGTAAAAAAGATATATTTTTGAGTTACAAAACAAGGATTTTAAAACTTGAATTGTTACAGTGAATATGTCTTAATACAGGCCAGAGTCATTTAGGTAAAAAATTACCTCATATCTATTCTTTGCAGTATCACTTAAAGGTGTTTATTTAGCGGCAAAGATTTTTTTTTTGTGCCTAGAGGCAGATATTTTGCCCCATGGCTATTTACGGTATGAAACTGTATTTAAATGAGTGTACATATATAAAAGCTGCCATTCTGGCTGTAAACTATTGCAGGTTATCAAGATTAAAAAATAAACAAATAAAAATATTTCAGTTTTTCTATGAAATGTCTTTACTCAAGTCCAAATGTAGAGATATAAAATGCTTGAAATTCATAAAACCAAGTGTTTCACATATTTCAGTTGTGATGGCCTTTGTCCTACTTTTGTTAGTGAAGCAGGCAGACTGCATTTTTTCCCTCTCATACACCTTCAAATGGTAGACAGAAAAATTTGATAAAACTTCTAGGGCATTATCTGATGAAACACATTAAACACTAAAAGAGAAATACAACTTCATTGTTTATAAAAGACGTATAAGAAGGAAACCTGCATACATATATCTATCAGTTTTGTATTTTCAAGAAATATTTGCCTTAAAATGAACTTCATTAGAATATGTGTTCTCCCACAGAGCCAAGGAAAGTAAGTTAGACACAGGATCTGGAAGTCTACCTGTGTGATGTAATTACATTGAAAACATTCCACAAATAATGCAGAAATGTATCATTGTGACCCAAAATATTCTCTAAATTTTCTCAAAGCAATGTGGCCACATCTATTATCTTTTACTATGACTAGTCATCATTCCATGCATTTGAACATTACCTCACCCATTTGCAGCCTCCTATGTCTGCAATTAATTATGGCTAACATTCTCAGCAGTCCAAACATCTTGCAAGTGACAGCTTGAAAAGGCCTACCAGAATGATGTTCACTCTGCCACCTGACTAGCTTGTCTTCCATCTAGACATTGCAGTATGTAGAAGAGTGCTTTTAGTATTATAAATTTGATCCAACACGTGTTCAATTAGATGAAATCTTAAATATTGCACTACATGTGAATTGGGAAAATGTTAATTTGCTTCTGTAGTTTTAAGTGTATTCTCAGAGGCAGATGAAGACATATTACATCACTGAGTTCAAGAAATAAAGTAAATAGAAGAAAAAAGGTGTTATTTTAGTTTGGTTATGTTTATATTTGAAGTTTTCTTTTCCAGATTTAGGAGAACCTACTAAATACACTGAAAAAAATGTGGTAGCCCTAGGTTAAATATCATACCTTATTTTTTGTTTATTAATTCCAGGGTAGAGTAGAAAAATATGCTCTCTTACATAATATAAAAATGATATGGGGAAAAGAAGTAAAAAATTAACTTAGAGACACCATTGATTAATTTCTTTTATAAATGAAACACTAGAGAGTTTCTATTTGTTTTGACAAATAGAGAATATATTTAGAATCAATGCTTTATTTCTTGGAAAGTGGAGTGAAAAATTTAAATGTAGTATTCAGATTGTATTATAACTATGCACTACAGATCACATACATTTGTCTTTTCTTTGTATTAGACATTATTTAATGGTAAGCATCCTTTCAAGGGCTATTTTATATAAGTAGTAAGGTATCTGGAATTTCTGAAATAATAAAAGTGACCTAAATCACTGTGTTTGGTAAATTCACAATACCCAAATAGCAGGAGGGGAGTGCTAGAGGTAGGGAGGAGAATGCTCATGTTCTCATTATTCCCAAACAGATTCTTAAAGTCTTCTCACTGGACACATGGATGCACCTCTGTAATACCCAATGTCTTAGCCACAACTGTCTGCACTTTTTAATGAGATACATTTCAACATTATTCCTTGTCACCTCAATATCAGATACTTTCTCATGTAATCTTTTACTTCTGAGGAGTTGAATTCTTGATCCATAAACTGAATCCATAGCTATGCATCTGTGGATGTTTTTAAATTATGTGAAAATTTTGTATATGCATTTTTCAGGGGAAAGTATCAGATCACCCACCTGGTGATTGTGACAAAAACAATCACTCCTGTTGATATTTAAGTCTTAATTAATTCAGAAAAATTTGCACACACCCTAAGGTCAGATAGTATTTTGTACCCTACATATAAAAACTCCTTTTTTTTTTTTTTTGAGACGGAGTCTCACTCTGTTGCCCAGGTTGGAGTGCACTGGCGTGATCTCTGCTCACTGCAAACTCCGCCTCCCATAACATTAATGATCACTGATCACAGATCACCGTAACGAATATAATAATAAGGAAATATTTTAAAAATTGTGAAGATTACCAAAGTGTGAAACCAAGACACAAAGTGAGCACAGGCTGTTTGTTAAATGGCACCAATAGACTTGCTTCACCAGGGTTGTCACAAACATCTCATTTGTAAATAAAGAAAAAATGTTCCTATCTGTGAAGCACAATAAAGAGAAGTGCAATAAAATATGTTTGTATTAATTTGGTTAACTTTATTCCAACTTAATGTAAATTAGTTTTAAAACAGTTTATAAAATTCTAAAATGAACCTGGCAAATTTAGAGCAATAATAACATTATTTAAATTAGAAAAGTCTTTTTTAAAAAGGATAAATAACAAATGTCTCATTGGAATTATTAAAGTTGTTTCAAGTTCAGCTCTGAGGTTCTTAGAAACTAAAGTAAAAAAGTATGACCAGTTTCTGAAGTCAAGATAAAATCATACAATCTTTAACTTAGAAAATTATCTTCTGTGTTGTGTCCTAAGCATAAACAAATGTAAGGACTTGCCCTGACACTCTGTAAGTAGTTCCACTCCAATACGCCCTGCAGAAATGTTTCCTGGCAAGAACAGCAAGTCAGAAGCCTTTTCAGCATGGCAAGGAGGGAGAGAGACTGAGCTATTAAAAAAAAAAAGATGAGGAGGAACAATAGCACCTTAGACAAGTGAGAAGTTTCAAAAGAGACGTATAAGGAGAGCAGTTGCAATTATAAGGAGCAAAATATGGAATGATGAAAAAAGACACTTTAAAGAAAGTTTTCCTCAGTACTTTGCAATGCACTTGCCACCTTCTGAAGAAAGCTGGCTCCTCCTGGAACCTTAGGGTATTTGGACCCATGCTTTGGAATGGGGTGACCATCTACATCAAGCTAACTTAAATTCAAATTTGTGTGCATAGGATAAGAATAATTGGGTTAAATAAAATTCACTTTTAATCTAAAATGTCATTCATTAGTTTGACCAACTTTCCTTACCACTGGCCACTTGGCCCTTGTCTTGTTTGACCAGGGTTGTCAAACAAGGTTTGTTGTTTCCTTCTTTGAAGGAAAGAGTCAGTGTTTCTTCCATTCCAATGCATCCACTTGAGGAATTTTTAATAAAATGGGCAATGAATGGGCAGCAGAAGAAGTTACAGGCCTGCTGATCAAATGCTAAGTAATAAACCCTGGAAATTCTAAACTCGTTTGCATGAAGACCTTGCTTATTTTGTAACTATTATGTATTATCAAACGTATACTTAATTCTTTGAATGTGTTAGTATGTGTTCAAAGTACACCTTAATTTTATATATACATATATTTAAATTACATAAAATAAATAAGCCACTAAAAATTTTTAAACATTTTCTTATATTTCCTTTCAGTATTTTTATGTGCATGCATCTGTACTTGGTAATATTGCTGAATGCATGTTTGCATTGACAAAGCCTCTCCCCTTGCCCAAACTCTAGTCGGGATCCTCTAAGCCACCTCTCAGCCTCAGCCTTCAGTGTTCATCCTAGTCTGGCCCACATCTCTCAGGTTTAGGAAGAAACTTGCAAAGAATCCCCCACTCTCAGTACTGATCACCTTTGATATCTGATCAAATTTGTTATCTCCCACCGCCCTCCAGATGATTTCTGATCAGTCTGGCCTGCCTTCAATAAGAATCCTGTTCGATCTGTTTAACCCAAATCCCCTTTGCCCCTGATATTTCCTCTTAGTATCCCCAGTTGAGCCAATTTTCAACCATTAAAAAAATCTTGGACAAAATTAAGTTCAGATAGGTTCCAGAGTGCTTATGTTCAGTTCTTGGCTTTCTGAAGACCTGGCATATCCTCTTTAAATTGCCTCAATACAAGAAAATACAAAATGGAAAGAAGTAGACATTAGAAATTGGAAAAATGGAGAAATACAGGAATGAACATAAGTTTCTATTTCAAGTAATTAGGTAAATTGTAAGATGTTTATATTTAACTTTTTCTCATTAGCTTTAGCCCTTTGAACCTTTGAGAACATGTTATTACTATATTTATCGAATGTTATATTTTTTATTTTAACGTAGAATGGTATTTTCACTCAAATCTCTTGAAACATATATTTATAGTCAATAGTTAAATTTTATTTAATATCAATTGTTCCTTTTTATTAGTATTTTCTTAAAAAAATAATATTGGCCCGGCACAGTGGTTCACACCTGTAATCCCAGCACTTTGGGAGGCTAAGGTGGGCAGATCACTTGAGGTCGGGAGTTGGAGACCAGCCTGAGCAACTTGGAGACAACCTTTCTCTACTAAAAATACAAAAATTAGCCGGGCGTGGTGGCGCATGCCTGTAATCCCAGCTACTCAGGAGGCTTGAGGCAAGAGAATTGCTTGAACCTGGGAGGTAGAGGTTGCAGTGAGCCGAGATCGCACCACCGCACTCTAGCCTGGGTGACAGAGCGAGACTCCATCTCAAAAAAAAAGAAAGAAAGAAAATGCCAGACATTTATTGAAGGGCTGGAATGGTATAGTGAAGTGTTCTGAGTCAGCTGGGCTCTGATTGATAAAGAGCTTGGCATGTTTGAAGGACAGCAAGGAAGCCAGAATAGCTGGAGCATAGCAGCAGGGAGACAAGTGCCACAAGATGAGCTGGAGAAAGGCACTGGGAAAGGTTTGTCTTTTAAGTGCTCTGAGAAGCAATTGAAGATTTGAAATAGAATAGTGACTTGCTTGATCACATTTGTACTTTTGAAAAGTTCCTCTGGCTGCTGTGGGGAAAGGCTTGAGTAGACGCAGGGTGGGAGAAGCATAACCAGCAGTAGACTCTTGTAGCAGGTTAGGTGAGAGATGGTGGTGGCCACGAGTGGGCTGCTAGTGGTGGAAGTGACAAGAAGTAGAAGGATCGGAGACAAAACTTGAAGATAAAAAGTCTTGAATTTGCTGATGATTTGCATTGACGAGGTGTTGGGGGAGAGGACTGAAGGAGCAGAGGAGAGTGACAAGGGACTGGATGCCATTTATAAGGATGGGGAAGACTGGGATGAAACCGGTTAAGGGAGAAATTTTAAACATGGCAAAATTAAGAGGGGTTTTATGTGAGAAAATGGAAATGCTAAGAAGGAAGTTGAAAATCCTGCTAATTTGGAGATCTTTGATTAAAACTAGAAATAAGAATGTGGGAAGCATCAACTTCCAAGATGCCCTCATTGTAGATAACACCATTTAGGATCTAGGCTCAAGCCCTGGGAAACTCCAGGGCTTTGGAAGTCAAATAGAGGAAGAACACGTACAGGAGATGAAGAAAGATTAGCGAGGAAGTCAGTGAAATATCCACAGGTGGGCTGCTGCCAAATCCAGCAGAACAGTATGCCAGATGTTAGGAGCATGAGTAAAATGAGAAAGGAGAAATGGCTTTTGACAACACTTCCCTACTAATAGTAGGGAAGAAGACATAGGTACAGATTCAAGTTGATTTGAAATTATGAAAGTGAGGTAATTGACCTGCAGTGGTTGCTGCTCAGTGAAATCAGCATAGTGATTACCTGAGCTAGGTTAGAGATTTGATGGGTAAGAAAGAACACCTGAGGGTAATCCTGGAGGGGGAAAAAAATAAAGTGTTTGCTGGAGAGAATGAGTTGGATTGCTGGACTTCAATGTGTGTGGGTTGAGTTTGTGACTTAAAAATGAAACCAGTCTGTTGCTTGTGTGGCTTTTCCAAAATACTGTTATTCCATTACCTATCTCTTACCCCAAGAGTAGTCACATTCTTATTTCTGGTTATTTTAATTCCTGGTGGTATTTTTATGTGATTAATGAGATAGTACTTGTTAATTTGATGATATTCTAGAAACCTGGTAAGTACTATGTACCTTGTCTTAAGTTTTGGTTACTTGATTGGTAAAATTATGCATGCACCATTAAATTACCTAATTCAAAATATATTCTTTTATTGTTTGACATTTGTCTTGTTTTTCTTTAAAATGTTATCTTTGTGGAGTAAACATTTTTCTTTATGCTGTTTAGCATCTTCAGATTAGTTCAGGGTATTGCTGAATGTGGTTGTTTGGAAGTAAAATGCTTTAGTATTAGTTATATAGATTTTAATAAGATACTACTTTCTATATAATTTATCAGGTACTTTAGGCATTTTAATTTGCAAATTTAGGACAATTTGCTTTAACGTTTCTTCACTTTTGTCCATTGGATGTAATTTCCATAAAGTATTCATTTCCCTAAGTAAAAACCGAAACCAAACCGACAACTAATGGTCACTGAAGAAAGAGTGATTAAATGCTAAGATTATAATGGTATTTGCATTTTAATGTTACCAGCTCTCTACAGTGTAAAGTTTATGCATTTATCGATTGCTTATGTTTCTCATTGCATTCTTTGGCCTACTGATTTTGGTTGTTTATAGCTATAGAATATAGAATTCCTTATGGTTATCCATTTCTCCTTTTAAGTAGAGTGATAGTTGTTAGAAGTAAAATAACCCCCCAATACTTTCTTCTAGTGTTAATTCTTAAAGTGTGATTGACTTTTATTTACTTTTTGGTGCAGTAATTGCAGTTCATGAGTCAATGTTGATGTCATATAAACCTTAATGTTTAATGTTTCATTGTAGTGATGTCTCTGTAGCAGCAAACATTTAAGTTATTTGTTATACTTAAATGTTTAAATCACTGTTAGTGATTAGCTTATTTTGCCTTCCTTGAAGCAATTTGTCCTAAATTTCCATATGTTTGCATTTGTTTTTGCTGTTCTAAAATTCCTTAGTTGCTGGCTTTGACCTTTTATGTTGCTGAGTTTTACACATCTATTTTCTCAACTGCCATATCCTAGGAGGCTTGGAGTACCCATAATACAGTGAGCCCACCTTCCTGGTCCCCAGACATTTCAGGAGGTCGGGAAATTTTTAAACCCAGGCAGCTTCCTGGCAGTGCCATTTGGAGCATCAAAGTGGTAAATAAAATTGCATTTACATTCATATATCATTTCTGTCTGATTTGTTTTTCCCTACTGGGTGTAAAGAATTAAATCTTTCTTTTCTAGATTGAGCTTCCAGAAACACTTTTTAAATCTAAAAATTTTAATGTAAAGAAATAATATGCTTGCATTTAAAAATCAAGTATACATTTTTAATAGCTCTTTTTATGGTTAATTCCTTTTGTTGTGATTACTACCGGTTTTATGAGGGAGAAGTCCTTGACATGTAGACCAAAAGGTAATTAAGGACCTTTTCATTCATGATATCATAAAACTTTGTTGCTTAGAAAAAAGCAAAAGAAAAAACTCCATTAATTTATTATGTTCTTATGGAGAAGAAATACCAAAATTGTGGCAGATTTCATTGTCTGTTTAATACCTTAAAATGACAAGGCTTTTTCCCCCATGACATTGGTTGATGGCTGTGCCAGTCCTTGAAGTGAGTTAAGTAGTGTGATGCATTTTGAAGAGAAAAAAATTAATTTGAAAAAGTATTAACTCAAAAGTTAAAATACTTCATTGACTGGAGATGACAGTTTTTCTTCATATTCTATATTTAATATTCTGGAATATGGCTGTTTAATTCAGACTAATCAAGGATTTTAAGGAATTCTAGATTATACTTTATTTTCTTTCATGACTGGAAGAACTATTATTTTTTAACCTCCCTACCTCCCCCTGATATCATCCAAGATATTGAGGTATAAATATACCTCATTTGACAGTTTGGTAATATAGACCACCAATTTTTACTTACCTTTTTTCTGGGTCAGCATTTCATGTTTGAGAAAATAAATTGAGAGATTACTGTAGTCTTGATTTTTAATCACTGACTTAATTTTTCAAAAATCTTTTATACCAATTTAATAACAAAACAAACTTGGCCAGGCGCAGTGGCTCACGCCTGATATCCCAGCACTTTGGGAGGCTGAGGGGGCAGATCACTGGAGGTCAGGAGTTCGAGGCCAACCTGGCCAACGTGGTGAAACCCCGTCTCTACTAAAAATACAAAGAGATTTAGCCGTGTGTGGTGGCATGTGCCTGTAATCCCAGCTGCTAGGGAGGCTGAGGCAGGAGAATTGCTTGAACCCAGGAGATGGAGGTTGCAGTGAGCCAAGATCACCCCATTGCACTCCAGCCAGGGCAAAGAAGTGAGACTCCATCTCAAAAACAAACAAACAAACAAACAAACAAACAAAAAACCCAAAAAACTAACCTGACCCCATCTATGTGTTGTGCAAAGAAGCTGATGCACTTCTCAAAAGGGATCTCAAGGAGAGCAGGGTAAGAGAAGACAGGAGTGGCAGTTTGAAACTGGGAGCTGGCTGTATTTATTACATCCAAAGGGAAAAAAGCCATTCCTCCCATTCCTTTTGTTCATGTGTTTCTATTTTATGCTTACAGCATCCTCATAAATTTTTGACTTGGAAACCATTCTGCTAAATAGGGAATAAGTTCATTTCAAACTATGATAAGGGACATCAGTTGAAGATATGACATATTATTTAACTTATGGTGAGGGAAACACCTAAGTATTTTCCTGAGCATCTGGATAATTTTAAATATACATAATTCATCTACTTAGGTAGGTGCCAGGTTTTTTCAAGGAGTAATTAATTAGTACGAACAAGGGTGAGGGAGCAGGGAACACCATACTCTGGTACTTAATGTCTGAAATTATCAGGGAATTTAACACATTTTCCCATAGGTTTATTTCTTGTGTAAGAAGTCAGATACATTATTTCCATTTCAAGTATTTGTTATTCAGATTATTTAAAGCAAAGCTTTCACCAAGCCTTTTGTCAGCTTTCCTGTAATCCTCACATAATTTTTCCTGGCTGGACGCTTTGGCTTACTCCTGTAATCCTGGCACTTTGGGAGGCAGAAGCAGGAGGATCACTTGAGCCCAAGAGTTCTAGGCTGCAGTGAGCTGTGATCACACCACTGCACTCCAACCTGAGTGACGGATCAAGTTCTTGTCTCAAAAATAAAAGTAATAACAATAATAATAAATTTTCCTCTAAATACAATGGTGAATGAGGTAGAAATGTTGAGTTCATAAGAGAACTGTTGAATAGTGAAGGAAACTGACTTAATTTTAATGACAGGAAGAATACTGTTACACACTAGCAAAAATGAACTTTCATGCTGATGTAGCAGTACAGAATATGCTTCCAACCCAGGGACGCTGGAGCCAGGCTTGCTAGCTAAGCGACCTTGGACAAGTTACTTAGCCATTTTATTCCTCAGCACACTCATCTCAAACGAGGATAATAAAACCTACTATATGGGATTGTTGAGAGTAAAAAATACTTAGATTAGTACATAGTAAGTACTCAATAGATGTTAGCTATTACTGTAATCACCGCGAGACCAGTTAATGAGAGAGTTCTTCCTTATCCTTACTCTATATTGAATACAATTTGTTGCACTTCGAAATATCTGGATAAGGCTATAGTTGTTGTCGTCACCGAGAATGTAGGAGTGGCAAAGAGAAAAATCATGCAAAGGCTTGCTGATAGCGTTCACAGTGACAGCCCGAAAGTATGATTCTAAGGTTGTAAGCATTTTATATTTAGAATTTTAAGTTGTGGAATATACTTTTAAAGATAAAAATAATAAGCCAGGTCTCTTAATACTTATCTAAAGAAGTGTTTGTATAACATTTAATAAAATGTTTTATCTCAGTGGCATTTGGATTTAAAAATTATTTTGGGCTGTCACAGAATGTTGACTTTTCCTAATCTGTTACATAGGGCCATGGGTCTGGATTTCCAGGAAAGCGGAGACCTCGAGGTGCAGGACTGTCGGGGCGAGGTGGCCGAGGCAGGTCAAAGCTGAAAAGTGGAATCGGAGCTGTTGTATTGCCTGGGGTGAGGCTTGCTTCATGTATATTTTCTCTAATCTAAATGTTAGTTAATGATGAAAATCTCATAGCAAGTTATTTTGAACTTAAAAGTCATATAAATAGGTCAAAATGTTTATTTTACTGTCCTACTTTGCTTTTTTTTTTTTTTTTTTTGAGCCTCTGGTTACGTTTTCTTGTATATTTACTTTCTCATCGTTTCTCTTTTCTTACCTTCCTCTTTGACTCCTTATCTTTCTATGCCAACCCTCTCTAAAAAGTCAGTATGTAATATAGCTGCTCTTTTATTTAAAAAATTTTAAGATTGATATTTGCTTACTATCATGTTATGAGGCTTTATTTATATGTGTATTACAAATATATTTGTTAACTACTAGCAAACATTTTATGTAATAACTTCGCTATTTTATTAAAATCCTGTTTTTAAAATTCTGAAATGTCATTTTAAGTAGAGGAGACAGGTGAAATTGTTCAAGTTTATTACTAAACCAGGAATAAGGAAGCTTAGATTCTCGTCCTTTTTTCAAAAAGAAAAATTTTAAAACCAGGCTTATTGAGGTATAGTTGATATAAGCTATATTTGACATGTACAATTCCATAAGCTTTGATATATACATATACACCCTTGAAAACGATACCACAATCATGATAGTGAATATATTCATCTCCCAACGTTTCTTCATGTCCCTCTGTAATTTTCTGCATTCCCCCTGCCATCCGTCCTTGTCCCCAAGATTAGTTTGCATTTTCTAGAGTTGTATATAAGTGGAATCATACAGAACTGTGTGCTTTTTGGACTGATTTATTTCAGCACAATTATTTGGAGATTAATCTATGCTGTTGTACTTGTTAACAGTGTACTTCCTTTTCTTGCTGAGTATTAATAAAACTGTGGATGCACCACGGCTGTAGACCTGTGCACTTTTTTTTCTTCTTTTTTTTTTTTTTTTTTTTCTGAGACAGGTTCTCGTTCTAATTCCTGGCTGGAGTGCAGTGGTGCGATCATAGCTAACTCCAGCTTTGACCTCCCACCTCTGTCTCCCAAGTAGCTGGGACCATAGCTGTGTGCCAACACACCCAACTACTTTTTTAAAATTTTTAATAGAGACAGCATCTCACTATGTTGTCCAGGCTGGTCTCGAACTTCTGAGCTCAAGCAATTTTCCCACCTTGGCTTCCCAAAATGCTGGGATTACAGGCGTGAGTCACCATGCCCCAGCCTGTAGTCTTACATTCTTGTAATGTCTTCATCTGGTTTTGGTATTAGCATAACTCCAGCTTCATACAATGAATCAGAAAGTATATTCTTATCTTCAGTTTTCTGGAAAAGTTGTGTAGTAGTGGAAATGTATCTTCTTATATTATACATGAATTTATTAGTGAAACCATCTTGGCCTGAAATTTTCTTTGTGGGGGGTTTTTGTTGTGTTTTCTTTTTTTTTTTCTTTCTTTCTTTTGAGATGGAGTTTCGCTCTTGTTGCCTAGGCTGGAGTGCAATGGCACAATCTCAGCTCAGCAACCACTGCCTCCCAGGTTCAAGTGATTCCCCTGCCTCAGCCCCCTGGGTAACTGGGATTACATGTGCCTGCCACCATGCCTGGCTAATTTTTTTTGTGTGTGTGTTTTTAGTAGAGACAGTTTTTCACCATGTTGGCCAGGCTGGTCTCGAACTCCTGACCTCATGTGATCCACCTGCCTTGGCCTCCCAAAGTGTTGGGATTACAGGCGTGAGCCACCATGCCCAGGCTGGAGTGCAGTGGCATGATCTCTGCTCACTACAGCCTCCACCTCCCAGGTTCAAGCAATTCTCCTGCCTCAGCCTTCTGAGTAGCTGGGATTACTGGCATGCACCAACATGCCTAGCTAATTTTTGTGTTTTGGGTAGAGATGGGGTTTCGCCATGTTGGCCAGGCTGGTCTCGAACTCCTGACCTCAGGTGATCCATCTCCCAAAGTGCTAGGATTATGGGATGAGCCACTGGTGCCCAGCCTGTGGGACAGTTTTTAACAACAAATTTTATTCTTTAATAGGTACCTATTTAGGTTATCTGTCTCTCCTTGCATAAATTTGCACCTTTCAAGAAATTTGTTCATTTTGTCTATCTTGACAAATTAAAGGAATGGAGTTGATCATAATGTTTCTTATTATTTTAATACCTGTAGAATCTGTAGTGATTTCACCTTCCTCATTCTTGATACTAATAATTTGTATCTTGTCTTATTTTTTTCCTGATCAGTCTGGCTAGAGATTTATCAATCTTATTGATCTTCTTGAGTCAGCCTTTGTTTTTATGGACTTTTCTCTATTTTCTTTCCCCTTTCTGTTTTATTGATTTATATTCTCATCTTTATTTTTTCCTATCTTCTCACTTTGAGTTTAATTTGATCTTCTTTTTTTGTTTACTCTTACGTGTCCCTGCTTGGAAGGGACACTTGTGAAGTTTAGGTCAGAGCTTTCTATTCTCCTTGGCTTATATCTGTGGTCTAGGAAAATGAAATTTCTATCACCTTCTGGATAAATCACACTATTATCTATGCAGGCAACAATAGCACATATTTTCTCAAAGATTACCTTTGCCCTCAAGTTAGGTTTCATTTTTCTAGCAGTCTAAAGGTCATGAAATAAATTATAAAATAAAAACAGTGGGTCTTCAAGCTAGATGATACTGTTTTCTTTCTTGCATGGACAATTATTTTAAAATATTTTGGTTTTTCTGCACTTATTATTTAAATATGACTCCCCACCCCCACTTGAATCTAGGGACATTGTAGTTTTCTACTGCAGACTTTGTTTCTGGTTTATACTGGGAATATATTGTTTATCATTTTCAGTGAAAGCATCCACTGGTTAAATTTCCTTTTAAAAATAATAATGGATCTTTACAATTTCTTTGAGCTGCTCAGTGTGTATAATGTGTTGAATTTTCTGTTAGTGGTTGGGAGGTAGAAATAGATACTTTATCTCTATTTTAGCCATTTCCATAATTATATATCTCAATAGCCTTGTCAATGCATCATTAGTCCTATGACTGAATTAATGATTACTTTTAGTAGTCACTTAGTTTCTTACTGGTGATGATGATTCTACTTTTGTGAATCATCTTGGATGATTCTCTAAAATCTTAGAAAGCTAATTTTGTTAATGCTATGCATATAACACATCAATACATTTTCTCTATTAAAAAAATTAAAGCGTTATAGGTAGATCAGAATTTACCATTACTAACTCCTCAGTCCTCCTTATTTCCCTGTTACCAGTTTGGTATATTTATATATTAGGTTGATCCATATGAAATTGCCAATATTATTTCTGAACTGATGAAAAGCAGCAATTTCTTATGATTCAACCTATTATATGTGCCCATAGACTACATATAATGACTTTGCATGTTTTTATATTATAGTGCTATACCTCAAATACTGTTCTGCAATTTATTTTTTCATCAACAACGTCTTTTGATAATTTCTTTCATGGCAGTCTATACACGTTTCTACCTCCCTACTTTTAAAATGTTGCGTAATTTTCTAATGTTTGGATTTGTCATGGCTTTACTTACTTCCTAATGATGAATATTGGCATTATTAACACTTGTAGTCATTAGGGTTCATATGACTATAAATTGCTCTTATAAAGCATTAGTACTATCCATTAAAACTGCTTTTAGGCTGGGCACGGTGGCTCATGCCTGTAATCCCAGCACTTCGGGAGGCCGAGGTGGGTGGATCGTGAGGTCTGGAGATCGAGACCATCCTGGCTAACATGGTGAAACCCCATCTCTACTAAAAATACAAAAAATTAGCTGGGCATGGTGGCAGGCGCCTGTAAGTCCCAGCTACTCGGGAGGCTGAGGCAGGAGAATGCCGTGAACCTGGGAGACAGAGCTTGCAGTGAGCTGAGATTGTGCCACTGCACTCCAGCCTGGGTGACATAGCAAGACTCCATCTCAAAAACAAACAAACAAAAAAACAAACAAAAAAAACCTGCTTTTAAATGTATTTGTATTGAAAAATACTGAGATATAGTCCTTCTATTTAGTTAACCAACCAACCTTCCTTCCTTCCTCTTTTTTTTTTTTTTTTTTTTTTTTTTTTTTTTTGAGACAGGGTCTCCCTCTGTCACCCAGGCTGGAGTGCAGTGGCGTAATCTTGGCTCACTGTAACCTCTGCCTCCTGGGTTCAAGTGATTCTCCTGCCTCAGCCTCCTGAGTAGCTGAGACTACAGGCGTGTGCCACCACGCTCGGCTGTTTTTTGTATTTTTGGTAGAGACAGGATTTCACCATGTTGCCCAGGCTGGTCTCGAACTCCTGAGCTCAAGCGATCCACACACTTTAGCCTCCCAAAGTGCTAAGATTATAGGCATGAGCCACCACACCCAGCTGGTTAATCTTTCAGTTGTTCCTCAAGAAAAGTAATTCAGTCGTTTTATGTTTTGACCTTGAACATAACCTGTTGTGTTTCAACTCTGTCTTTCCAGGCTTCGGTTGTAAGCTTTTTAAAGAAAGAGGATTGTATTTTATGATTTTGGCAGTGCCCTCCTTGTCTTCTTCTACAACTTCTAGTTCAGAGCTTTATTTTGTTTCATATCACTCTAGAAATTATTAACAAACCAGTGGCTACTTAGTTGATTTAGTCAAATAGAACTAAGTCCAGACTGAACAATATTGGTTGATAATCATTTGGCTGATACTGAAATTTGGATGTTATTCAAAATAATATTCTAAAGCGGTGCTAATAGAAATATAATGAGAACCACATATGCAATTTAAAACTTCCTAGTAGCCACATTAAAAAGTTACAGTGAGCTGGGTGCAGTGGATCATTTGAGGTCAGGAGTTAAGAGACCAGCCTGACCAATATGGTGAAACCCCGTCTCTACTAAAAATACAGAAATTAGCTGGGCGTGGTGGTGGACAACTGTAATCCCAGCTACTTGGGAGGCTGAGTCAGGGAGAACAGCTTGAACCAGGAGGCAGAGGTTGCAACGAGCCGAGATCGCGCCATTACACTCCAGCCTGGTCAACAAGAGTGAAACTCCTCTCGAAACAAAATAGAGGTTATAGTGAACAGGCGAAATTAATTTTAATGCCTTCCATTTTGACCGATATATCTAAAATATTACCATTTCAACATGTAATATGTAATTATGTGCTGTATTTTATGTTTGCAGGACATCTCAGTTCAGACTAACTACATTGCAGATCCCAAGTGTGTGTCATTAAAATAGTGATAGATTTGTGTGTGTACATACCTATAATATTATCATTTATAGTTTCTTGATTAGAATTCTGCATAATCAAGTCTTACTAAGACAGGTTTATTATATTTTCTCATTACTTCTTGGTCTAAAGGAATTCTACCTCTAAAGAGAGAATGAGTTGAATAATAAAATGTCATGACTCCATTTTGCTGTAGTATCTTAGCATTAATATTTGGAATTGTTATTCTAGACCTTAGCAAAAATATATGTTTTGATTATGAATTTTCTGAAGCTTTCCAGTTAAGTGCAAAACAAGTGAAAAATATAACTTCGTATTTTGTGTATTTTGCTTTTTATAGGTGTCTACTGCAGATATTTCATCAAATAAGGATGATGAAGAAAACTCTGTGCTCGATATGGTTGTGTTGTTTTCTAGCAGTGACAAGTTCACTTTGAATCAGGTTTGAACTTGACAATTTACTGTCTTCCTCATTGAATTCCTCCTTGCACATTTCTGCTTTATCTCATATACACAGAAGTGATCCAATATTTAGCTATAGAGCTATATTAGTTAAGAAGGTATTTTTAAAGTAAAATTTGTAGGTTTTTAGCTTAGTCTCCATTTAAAATATGTTCTGTTTTCTTAACTTCAGGATATATGTGTAGTTTGTGGCAGTTTTGGCCAAGGAGCAGAAGGAAGATTACTTGCCTGTTCTCAGTGTGGTCAGTGTTACCATCCATACTGTGTCAGTATTAAGGTAAACATCCTTAAACTGAGTTAACAAATATGTATTGAATTTGTATTTGGTTTTAGTAGTAACATGAGCTCCCAGTTCTCACAATTAAGTATTATGATTATTAAACATATGTGACAGTATTTAAGTACTTTAAATACTGCTTTTAAGGGTTTCCTATCTCAAGAAATTTGCTCCTCTATAAATCTTATATTGTACTAATATCCTGCTTTTGTCTTGAAAAAGTAAAACATAAAAATATATGCATTTAATTTAAAAGACAATTTATACTATTCACAAAGATTTTAGGTTTAGCTGATTCATTTTGTCTGTTGATTTATAAAGCTGAGAACTGGAGTATTTAGTAAAAAATTATTAGCCCATTCTGTTCTTTCTCACATTCTCTCTCCTCTGTGCTCACTCATATACAAAATGACATTTTCTCCTTATAGCCAAAAGAAAGAAAACAAGTGTCATATTTAATGCAATCGGTAATAATCGAGAGTCAGCACTGCTCACTTTCAAGCATTTCAGGATAGAGGCTTTCTGGGGAAGCTTTTAAGTGGTATCGTGTGCTTGGTTTTAAATATGGACAGGTCTCAATACTTCACTAGTTGTATCTAAGGTTCTTGGTTTTTTCTTTTTAAGAACTCAGTCTTAATAAAACTTACATATTTGAATAAAGTGTCATGGCCACTGGAAGCAAGCATGGAGGTATAGCTGTACAGCAGAGGTCTTAAACTGTATACTCCACAAGGAAATCTTTTCTAGTATTGCCATACCATGTAATATAAATACTAACCTCAGTTTCAATAATAGGTTGTGAACCATGAGTGATTTTTATACCATTCTCCCCCGCCCTTCAGACATCACTGTTATATCATTGTCAGTAAAATGTCAGTATAGTAAGCAAATCAACATTATCTCCTTCAGAATTCTTTGTTGATAACTACACTAGTATTTATTTTATAGGGTAATACAGGTTTTTGTGAATTTAGGAATCAAAATGAAAGATTGTAATTAATACTATCCAAAATAGAAGACTAGTACGGTTAATTTATGTAGTTTTTTAAAATTAGTTGCTCATGGTATGTGACTGAAAAACACAGAGTATATAAAGCCAATTAAAAATGGAGTTATATATGCATAAAACATGTTTCTTTTCTTCTTTGTACTTTATATTCTGTATAAAAGTAGCTGCTATCATTAGATTTTGTTTTTTAGAATGCTTAATGTTTTGGACCTAAGGAAATTGAATAAGATCCCTTCCAAGATAGTAATGTATTTCTTTTAACCCATCCAACAATTACCGAATTCCCATTTTACAGATGAGTACGACTTACATAAGTTAAGATTGGACAATTAGTGTACTATCAGACACCTAGTTATTCCTGTTTTTAAAAATTATGTGTGGTTCCTTTTACATGACACTGTTTCGGACAGTATATAATACTGCAGTCTCATTGAGAAATACAGCAGTATCTAGAAATATACTAGGGATATGTGAATTGGCTCAGCTTGCATTTTTATTGCAGGAGGCAATTGTTTGTGGATAAGTTTGATACCTTTGAAGCTTCTTTTTAAGCTTGCTGGGGCAAGTCTAGAAAGCCTTCACTCTAAGGTGGATATTTTCAAACTTTATGGTTTTAGAACCTTAACACTCTTTAAAATTACTGGGGACGCCATAGTTTTTGTTCATGAGGATTTTAACTATGGACTATTCAGCATTTTAGAAATTAAAACTAGGAACATTTTGTAACACAGGACTACAGAAGCACAACCTGTACAATGTCAATGTAATATTATGATACAACATGTAGCTTCTATAAACACCACTGTATAATTGTGAATAAATTAAAGTGAAAAAAGGCAAATTAAATCTTAGTATTATTTAAACTTGTTTTAACTTTACAGACCCACTGGGGTTCCCTAGTCCACATTTTGGTAGCTGCAGTCCTAGCATTAGTTTAACCCTATACTTAAGACTTGGCCTTTCTGGGATCACTACTGAATTCTACCCCCTGTTCACCAGTGTCTTTGTACTCTGACTGGTTGTGCTTCACTTGTCTTTGAGCCTTTTGCAAGCTCTGGTAATTGTGCAGCTTACAAATTCCCAGTAGATGTACTTTCCCCTGGTTGTGGGTCTTTGGGCTTCTAGAAGTACGGCTTGGTGTTCCACCAAAGACTTCAGGGGATCCTTTGTAGATTTCTGGAGCTCTTAGTCCTTATTGCTTCTTCATTTTGAGTAGTGTGTCCTGCAAATTCCACTGCCTCACCTTCCCTAACCTCAGCGAGGCCATTGATTGTACTCTGCTGAGGTTCTCCCTCCCTGGGCAGCGTTCTGGAAAATGTTTCTAGGCAGAATATCATAGGACTCCCTGAGTGTTTCCTTCCTCTCAGAGACCACTGTCTCCTTTACTATGTGTTGTCCAATATCTGAAAACAGTTGTTTCACACACTTTGTCCAATTTTCTACTATCTTATGGGAAAACAGGCTGGTCCCATATACTCCATTATCGTTGAAGCATGTATCCGTATTAGATTATAAAACATATCTGTAACAACTTTGGACATGGTACCATGGATGGAATCCTGGATGACATCTTATTTGAAAAAACTTTTAAAACTAAGGCTAAACTGGTTCAACAGAAGAAAAAAATGATAGTACAACCCCAGTAGCTAAGTTAAAAGGAAATTTCAAAGATGGAGAAATTGTTGAAGTGTTGAAGTACTAGAAGTCAAGAAACACAAACACTAATGTTTCCATTAGATTTGAGAATAAGAAGGTATTGACAAGCCTGGCTTAAGCAGTTATGAGTGGATGTGGGTGTAGAGACCAGACTGTAGTGTTTTGAAGAGTGAATATAAGCGGAGAAACTTGAGAGTTTGGTTGTAAAAGGGACCACAGGTATCTGTGAAGAAAACTTAGTAGGAATGAAGATAAATATTTTAAAAATGCTGCCACTAAACACCTCAGATCTGTCTGCCACTTTGTCTTCAGGTCATTGTTTAAGCCAGGGTCAGGCAGACTGGCCCATAGACTAAATCTGGCCCATTTCCTGTGTTTGCAAATAAACTTTTATTGAAATATGGCCAAGTTCTTTTGTTTACATATATTTGTAGCGGTTTTTGCATTACACTGGCAGAGTTTTTATAAAGTTGCAACAGATCATATGGCCCTCAAAACTTTCTGTTTACTCTCTGGCCCTTTATTGGAAATGTTTGCTGGCTACTGCTCTAAGCCACCCTGATCTTACCCCAGGCCATTTCCTTCATTTGGGCAAATAATATACTAACTTGGTAATCTAAGACAAATTCTTAAAAATCAATAAGCTAATCAAAATAATAAATATACATGTTTAAAAATCAAATGACATTAAAAGCCTCGTAATGGGCCAGGTGTGGTGCCTCACACCTGTCATCCCAGCACTTTGGGAGGCCGAGGCAGGTGGATCACTTGAGGGCAGGAGTTCAAGCCAGCCTGGCCAACACAGTAAAACCCCATCTCTACTAAAAATACAAAAATTAGCCAAGTGTGGTGGCTCATTCCTCTAGTCCTAGCTACTCAGGAGGCTGAGCCAGGAGAATTATTTGAACATGGGAGCCGGAGGTTGCAGTGAGCTGAGATCACACCACTGCACTCCAGCCCAGGCAACAGAGCAAGACTCCATCTCAAAAAAAAAAAAAAAAGGCCTTGTAATGAACAACCAACTCTTGTCTTACTCTACCTCCACATCTGAGGGAATCACTTTTAATCTTTTCAGGTCTTTTTTCTTGTGGTCAATGCTATAGCTCTAAATAATCAACTGGTTTGCTGCTTTATCAATGCTAGATTTTGTTGACTTTCTGCTATGAATAAATAAATTCTGATTTAGGTCTTAAAATACACCTCCTTCCTTCTCCCAATATAGTTGTATTACTATGTTTAGTTCAATTAATAAGGTGTTGGTTATGACTCAGTAAATGTTCACTGCAGATCTAAACAGTATACTATGAGTTTCTTTTGTCTTTCATGGAGTTTTTAATAACAAGAAAGTAATAGTGACTCTCCATTCGTTCTTTGTTTTTGCCTACTATAGAACTATCATATAAGATTATTTTTTAAAGTACTGTTTTTTTCTGGGAGAAGTCCTACCCTCTTTCTAGACATTCCCTTCTCCTGCTCTGATATGTGCCAGTGGCTTCTGGGTGTGTTGTTCTCATCCTTAAACTTCCCTGGCCTGATGTCCTTTGTCGGATCTGTTGATTTATAGATCCCAAGTCTTCCTTTTCTTTGTAATACATCCTCATTCTGTTCCGCATATCTCTAAGTAACTTTATTAGAAGGAGAATGAAGGAGCTGAATTTTGAGTCTTCCTGTGTCTACAACGTATTCTGTCTTCACACATAGTTGCTTGTGTAGCTAGGTTGAGAATTGTACTTTGAAAAGTATTTTCCTGTAGAATTGGAAAATTATACTCTTCTAGCATCTGGAGTTGGGAAGTTTTGTGCCATTCTGATGGGTGTTCCTTTGAATTTAACTCTTTTATTTTCTTCTCTGGTAGCTTTTAGGCTTCCATGTACCTCATGATCTGAATTTTTATTCTGTACCCTCATTACTTGCTGTTTCATTATAATATGGGCACTTGATTGGTTCTGTCTGAGGATCCTAGTCTTTTGAGATCTTTAAGAAGTTCTGCAATCTTAATATTACATGGTGTGGCTTCCTTCAGGAGTTTGTTAGGGATTTGGAAATTCCCAAATATTCTGCTAACTTATACCCTTGAGAGAGGGGAGAATAAACAGAGGAGTGAATGTGAACTTCAGAATTCCTAGCTTCATAGTCTAAATAGAAATCTTCTAAGATCATAAAATGTCCCTAAGAACTCATGCTTTACATTAATTTTTTGGTATTTTTTCTATTGATTCTAAGCATGGAAATGCAGATGGAGATTTTGTTGATGTATTTTCAAATTATGTATCAATAATAGTGAAGCTTACTTGATTTCTTTAAAATCTGGTCACTATATCTATAAATACAGTGGACATTAAATGTACAGCATAAGGTAATTATGTGGACTTTAAAAAGGCATTAAAATATGTGCCATTTTCTATTATTCTGCTCAGTAGGCTCCTAAAAGCGTGTATGAACATGCCCAACCCAGTATTGGGCCTCCGTAGGTGCTCAATAAATGTTAGTTGATTGCCCCTTTCTGCTTCTAGGTACATAAGCACCATATTAATTTATATAGTATATTTGATTATGTTAGGTTAATGCATAAATCACATGGATTGGTTGTTTCTTTTACAGATCACTAAAGTGGTTCTTAGCAAAGGTTGGAGGTGTCTTGAGTGCACTGTGTGTGAGGCCTGTGGGAAGGCAACTGACCCAGGAAGACTCCTGCTGTGTGATGATTGTGACATAATTTATCACACCTACTGCCTAGACCCTCCATTGCAGACAGTTCCCAAAGGAGGCTGGAAGTGCAAATGGTTCTCTAGGGTTTGTTTGCCTTGTTAGTCTTTCAAGTTCAGAGCTTTCTCATACCACTTTAGTTTTTAAAACTAGTTTTAAAAATAGTTTTAGCCATACCTATTTAATTGAATAATACACATATTCTATGATAGATACCACTAATCAGAAAAATTTTCACATACACATTAAATCATTTGCCCCATTATGTTCGTATGTAGCTTCCTGAATTACAGTAACTGAATAACTAAGAAAATAAAATTGAGACTTTTCGGGGGGATTTGGATTTCAGGTGTGTTTGATGCAGACACTGTGGAGCGACATCTGCAGGTCTAAGATGTGAATGGCAGAACAATTACACACAGTGCGCTCCTTGTGCAAGTTTATCTTCCTGTCCAGTCTGCTATTGAAACTATAGAGAAGAAGATCTTATTCTGCAATGAAGACAATGTGATAGGTATTGTGCTATTTTTTCATCTTTTTAAAGCTTTTCTCTTTGAAATGTAGCAAAAAAAAAAAAAATGGAAAATAGCTTTTCCTTAATCACAAGTTTTAGGTACAGAGCTTTTTGCCTTGTAGATTTTTGGTCACCTAGAAACTTACAGAATTGATTTCCTGTTTTGAATTCTCAACTCCAGACTAAAGTTTTGTTTTGTTTTGTTTTGTTTTGTTTTTAAATTTAGAGACAGAGTCTTGTTCTGTCGCCAGGCTGGAGTGCAGCGGCGCTACCTCGGCTCACTGCAAACTCCACCTCTGCCTCCTGGGTTCAAGCGATTCTCTTGCCTCGGCCTCCAGAGTAGCAGGGACTACAGGTGCATGCCACCACGCCCAGCTAATTTTTGTATTTTTAGTAGAGACAGGGTTTCACCATGTTGGCCAGGATGGTCTCCATCTTTTGACCTTGTGATCCGCCCGCCTCAGCCTCCCAAAGTTTTATGATTATAGGCGTGAGCCACTGTGTCCACCCAAGACTGAAGATTTTTAATTTAGGCCTTTTTGAGGGTTTAGGAATCCCTTGAAATTAGATGGAGAATTATTGCCTTCATCTATGCTGTTTCTTATGAAGGGTTTCTGAATCTTTTAATAGATTATAAAAAATATCTAACACTTTCTGTTCTCCTTAAACCACTTTCTCTTAAAGCTCTAGATACTAGATATCTAGGTATTAGATAGCACCTTCTGCCCTCCCTACGTAATTATGTAGAATTTCAAAATCAAGAATGTTTCCTTGCTTTCATTGGTATATTGTTGTACTCTTTAGAAGTTAAGCAGTGAACATATATTGATAGTACTATTTTATCAGTAGTACAGTATTCTTGGGACTCTGGCTACTAATTATCTGTTCCATTGCAAGACAACTTTTTACTTTATTTCCCAATTACCATTCAACATCGCTTTCCATGATATATGTCTACTTCAAGTTAGATGCATTGCCTGGAGCCCATATATGCTAGCACTGCCATTTGCAGTTTTCTGAATACCTTTGTGTTTGCCCTAACTAGCTTCCTTGCTGTCTTTGAAATATTTAATATATGATGATAAAATAATTAGCTTCCTTTTGTAATGTGCTTTGCTTCCTCTCTAATAGTTGTTCTCATTCCTTTTTATTTCCTCCTTAGCTCTATGAAAGTTTTTCTGTTAATAGGGATAGTTAGGAGAAAAGGGCAAGGTAGGAGGAGCATGTGAGGCTTAGGGCTTTTAAGTTTGATGACTCAGTGTTACAGGTTTTAAAAGGTAGCAGTTCTCAGTATATTCCATTTTTTTTAAAAATGTACAAATATGGTCTTTTTAGATGGATGCATGCAGTTCGTCAGAACTTAAATACTGAGGAAGAAGTGGAAAATGTAGCAGACATTGGTTTTGATTGTAACATGTGCAGACCCTATATGCCTGCGTCTAATGGTAAGAGAGTAATTTAAACTGTGAGTCTGCACTCTTGTACCACTCACTTGCACCTTACTGTCCATAACCAATGAATTAGCTTAGCTCCACTCTATTTTGTCTTTGTGAAACTTACTTTGACAAGTATTTTATGAAAAATATTATTGTTGGTTATACATGACTTATCACAACTTGTTATAAAACAATTTACATGAAACAGTAAAAAGCATATACTTTAGATGTAAACTATAATTTTGCTTCCAAGGAACATGATCTTGTAGTTATTGACAATATGTTAAAATCCAATGTGTTGATTCTTTCTTAGCCAAGTTTTCCTCCATGACTTGAGTATTTCCTTCATCACTTCTTGTTTTGTTGTTGCTTTAAAAAGTGCTTTTAACTTTAGTGTTCAAACATTTATTTTAATAAAATGAGTATAGAAACAGAAATTTTAATCATATATAAGTATGTAAATACACTTTACCTTTTCTGAAAAGAATTACCTGGATTTTTTTTTTCATTTCAGTGCCTTCCTCAGACTGCTGTAGATCTTCACTTGTAGCACAAATTGTCACAAAAGTAAAAGAGCTAGTTAAAATTTGGAATGCTTTACTTAATTTAATTAATTTACTTTGCTTAATTTTTACATAATTGGCTTACCACTTGTAAAATCTGCTTCAATCATATGGTTGTTCTATCCAAATTCCGTAATGTTGGTAATCATTTCCACAATGATATATAAAATGTCATCCAGCTTTACTGGGGCAGTATTCCTATAAATTTCAGCAAGTTGGCAACAAAAATAACAGCTCTTAGAATAACCGTTAATGCCATACTTGCTTTGGTTTCATTGATATATTACTGTGCTTAATTATCAGTTAGCAGAAAATACGGCCTAGTTAGCAAGCAGATTTCTTTTAGAATTAATTCAATCTCTTAATTTTTTAAAATAATTAATAAGCCTAGTATGGTGATTAATATGATATTCTTATTAAACAGTCATTCTTTTGAATACTTGTATTTAATAGCACCTGATACAAAAACATTTGGATAGTACAGAAATTGTTCTAAGGAACAACAGTTTTGTACATTTAAAATTAAATCTGCAGGATTTGTACTTATTTATTACTTCTCCCTATTAGTAATTATGTTGATAATCTGATTTTTCCAGATGAGCTTCTGGAGTATTCTCTCTTCTCTTGCGTAAATAGATCCCTGCCTTTTGATCTTTTCCAGGAAAAAGCTCATAGTGGATTAGCTGAGCATTGAATTTATTTGCAGTGCTTCTAACGGTTTTTATTGGGACATGAAAATAGAAATGCCAGGAAGACTTTTTTGAGATGGAGTCTCGCCCTGTTGCCCAGGCTGGAGTACAGTGGCACGATCTCGGCTCACTGCAACCTCTGCCTCCTGGGTTCAAGCGATTCTCCTGCCTCAGCCTCACGCATAGCTGGGATTATAGGTGCCCGCCACCATGCCAGGCTAATTTTTTGTATTTTTAGAAGAGAAAGGGTTTCACTGTGTTTGCCAGGATGGTCTCAATCTCCTGACCTCGTGATCTGCCTGCCGCCTCGGCCTCCCAGAGTGCTGGGATTACAGGCATGAGCCCCCGCAACGGGCCCAGGAAGACCATTTTTAAAAAACATGTAACTTTTCTGCCTATAATCCAAGGAAGTTTGACCTATTGTTCCTAGTTTTTATTGGGTATCATGAAATTAATTATTCATGCATTTCATAGATACGTAATTACTTTCTAGAACTACAGTCACATTCCCTTGACATGGGTATTTTGGAACAGTAATCAGTCAAATTTAAAATGAAAGTTTAAATTTGTATTCTTGGGATTTTGTAATTTTAGACCCACCCAAGACTTATACCCAGGATGGTGTGTGTTTGACTGAATCAGGGATGACTCAGTTACAGAGCCTCACAGTTACAGTTCCAAGAAGAAAACTGTCAAAACCAAAACTGAGATTGAAGATTATAAATCAGAATAGCGTGGCCGTCCTTCAGACCCCTCCAGACATCCAATCAGAACATTCAAGGGATGGTGATATGGATGATAGTCGAGGTAATACTAATTTATTTTCCGTGAAATATGTGTGCAAGAATTACAGCATATAAAGTAACTTTTGAAATATGTGTATGATTTACCAAGGGGTAAATCACACTGACTTAGATAACCCCGATGTGACCCTTGCCATCTCCAAATGAGTGATCTTCTTAGACCTTGCCTTTTCGGGTTCTCTTCCTTTCACACATTTTAGAACAGACCTACCTTACACAAATCTCAAGGAGCACCATATCTTTGAAGATCACAGGTGGGGAAATACAGAGGGCTTGACTTTAGTTTGCTAGATAACGACACAAACCTTCTCAGATACTGTGAGTTTGGATAATACCATGTTTAAGTTAAGGTAGTTGAGGCATATATTCTAGAAATGGAAAAGCTGTCATTTAATATTACTTCAGGTATAACTTCATATTCACCAGTGTGCATCATAAAGTATTGGTTTATAAACATTTTCTTAATCAAAGTAAATATAAGGTTTTTCTAGCTGAATTCTTTTTTTTTTTTTTTTGGTTGGGAGACAGGGTCTTGCTCTGTTGCCCAGGTTAGAGTGCAGTGGCATGATCTTGGCTTACTACAACCTCTGCCTACTGGGTTCATGCGACCCTCCTACCTCAGCCTCCTGAGTAGCTGGGACCATGGATGTGGGCCACCACGCCTGGCTAATTTTTGTATTTTTTTGTAGAGATGGGGTTTTGCCATTTTGCCAAGACTGGTCTTGAACTCCTGGGCTCAAGCCATCTGCTCTGCTCAGCCTGCTGAATTCTTGAGATAGCAAAACATTTTAATAGTAACCTAAAATCCAATATGAATTAAAGAGGATTACTGTAGGTTTCCTCATTTTTGGGGCAGTTATTTATTTTCAACTGATTCAGAAGTGAAGTGATAATTATTTCTGTTCCATTACATTTTATTTCATAGTTTTTTTTTTTTTTTTTTTTTTTAAGGGGCAGTGTCTTGTTACATTGCCCAGGCTGGTTTCCAGCTCCTGGGCTCAAGTGATCCTCCTGCCTCAGCCTCTCAAGTAGCAGGTACTATAGGCATGCGCCACTGCAGCCGGCTTTTAGACAATAGAATTTATTGAATACCTACTGTATGTCAGATGTTGGAAATCATATCAGTGTACAAAGCAGGTAGAATTCTCTGCATAGAGTTTATATTTTAATGTTAGGTAACTCAACTCTTAAAAAAAATCAGTTAATTATAATGTGTTTGGCAAGTTCCATGGTAAAAATAAAGTTTGATAAAGAGGAATTGCCTGGCCAGGCACAGTGGCTTATGCCTGTAATCTCAGCACTTTGGGAGGCCGAGGTAGGTAGATCACTTGAGGTCAGGAGTTCGAGACCAGACTGGCCAACATGGTGAAACCTGTTCTCTGCTAAAAATACAAAAATTAGCCGGGCTCAGTGGCATGCACCTCTAATCCCAGCTACTTGGGAGGCCAAGGCAGGAGAATTGCTTGAACCTGGGAGGCGGAGGTTACAGTGAGCCGAGATTGCACCACCGCACTCCAGCGTGGGTAACAGAGCAAGACTCCATCTCCAAAAAAGAAAAAAAGGAATTGGAAGTACAGACAGGTGTTTAGGGTCCATATGAACAGAAAGCAGTATTTGAGCACAGATTTTAAAGAGGTGAGTGAGTGAGCCACTTGATTACCTGAGAGAAGAGCACCCCAGACAGTGAGGAAGCCAGTGTAAAGGCTCTGGGTGAGAGTGTGCTGAGCATGTTTGAAGAGTGTTGTGGAGACCAACAGAGTGAGCAGAGGGGACAGTCAGAAGGTGAGAAGGTTAGAGATGTGAGGACAAGAAGGACGGCTCAGTATATCTCACACAACCATAAGGTGATGTGTCAGTAGTTTGTGCTTAATAGCAATGGAATGGGAGGCCATTGAATGTTCCTGAAAAGAAGAACACCATGATCTTATTTATATTTTAAGAGGAACACTCTCCTATGATATAAGTAGATGATTAGGTGCAAGAGTTATGACAGGTAGATCAGTGAGAAACAATGGTCCAGGTGAGAGGTAATTGTGGCTTTGAAAAGGTATGTCTTTTGTGGCCGGGCTCGGTGGCTCATGCCTGTAATCCCAGCACTTTGGGAGGCCAAGGCGGGTGGATCACCTGAGGTCAGGAGATCAAGACCATCCTAGCCAACGTGGTGAAACCTCGTCTTTACTAAAAATACAAAAATTAGCTGGGCGTGGTGGCAGGCACCTGTAATCCCAGCTATTTGGGAGGCAGAGGCAGAGGATTGCTTGAACCCAGGAGGCAGAGGTTGCAGTGAGCCAAGATCGAGCCATTGCACTCCAGCCTGGTGACAGAGTGAGACTCCATCTCAAAAAATAAATAAATACATGAAAAGATATGTCTTTTGTATGTTCTTGATAATTTTTGTTTTGTAGTATGTTTTGGGTCTATGTTGCTGGGAGAAACACTTTCTGATGTTTGTATGTAACTGATTTTCAGGTACAGTTGAACAGGTAATTTGATTTGGGGGCTTGGAGTTTGCAAAGAAGTAGTCCATATACTTGGAGGAATTGATCAGATCAGCATTAACAAGAATTTCCATTTCTGAGGATGTTAAAAAATGTCTGAAAAAGGTTTCCATAGTCTCTTAAATTTGGGAAGTGCTCCATTTCACAAAATATGAAAGGTTTCTTGATAATAGTACACATTGTTTCCCAAATTATGTGATTATAATACCTTTTAAAAACAACACAGAAGATCTTGGAAGGTTTTCCTTGTGACTTACCACTTGTAAACACTGAGAAATGGTGATATGTTTCAATTTCATATTTTCTCATTGACTCGTATCACGGTAAAAGAAAATCAGTTGAAAAATTACCCTTGCTTTTTTAAAATTTATGTGATAAAATAGCCCATCTGAATTTACTGAATTTGTCTTTATTTTTATTGAATATGAAAAAAGATTGTTTAGTGTGTTAGATGTTAAATGCTAAGACAATTTTAGAATTTAAGGAATTGAATATACAGTATTTTCATGACTAGTCCCTCATGTTCATTTACATGCCAGGATCTCACATCCTTTGCAGAAGGAAAGGTACATTCCTAGGGATAAAATAAATGCATGTTACTTGGACAACATTTTTGCTTTCTGTTTGCTAAATAAAAATCCTTTTTAAAAATTTAGTATTGCCACACTTTGCCATATTAAAAATGTTTTAGATTACTATATTATCCTGAAACTACATGTACACACACACCACTAAAATAAGTTTTAAGGTATTTCATATGCCTGTACGGGAGAGAAAATAGGAAAAGAATACAATCATCATAAGTTCTTATTATTACATTATGCTGAGATTTCTAATAACGCTGTCCTTTTCTGGGTATTTTGTATTAAACCTAAAATTTGTGATGTTTTAGACTGTTTCACTAACATGTTTTGATAACGTCTCAGTACCCTTGGGAAAGCATTATAAAGTAGTGGGCAACGATGAAACCTACTCTGGATGTTTTTAGGCAAATTTTTTAACTTCTCTGATGTTAGTGTTCTCTTTTATAAAATAGGTGAACCAGGATGAGCCCATGGGATAGTTGTGCTGATGAGGTGCAAGGATGCGTGTCAGGCACCCAGCACTGGCTCTTCCCAGACATGGAGTGCTCAGTAATCGTGAGCTATTAGAATACAGGTGCCCAACCAGTGCTTGAGCAATTGTGTTCTGTGTCCAACAGAACTCAACAGAATCCCACGTTTGTCTTTATATGTGAATTCAGTTCCTTTTGAGTTAGTAAGAAATTTTGCCTGTGTTGGGGTAATTGAACTTTCAGGAGGAGGGAATTGCCTGCCACAATTATTCTCTGAACTTAATGTTTCCATGTCTTTTTCTTCATTTTGGAAGTTGTGGAAAAATTATAATGAAAGAGTATATAAACGTTTTCCTCTGTATTATAGCGTATCTGACAGTTTCCTTTATTAAAAAGTACGATACATTAGGGAGAGACTTAATGAATTTAAAATTAAAGTTTGAAAAGTGTTATTGACTATAAGTGATCTTCAGCTGTGCAGTTTTCAACTTGAGGTTGTCAGAATGTAATATTACACATTATATTACACACATCTACAGAATCCAAATTGTGATGTTCCTGGAGTATTGGAACAATACCTATGACTTTTTGTTTCTATTGATTTTTAACTCTTCTAATAACCACTTCTTTAAGAAAAGTCATACATCATCACTTTGGTGTATCAGAAACAAATTCCTTATACAATAAAAGCATACTTCTTTCTCATTCACCTACTGGGATCTAGAAACCCTGTTAATGCAAGAAAAAATCCCAAACCTCAATAAAATAACACTCTGTTTGTCTGAAGAGTGGAAACACAACACATTTCCTCTCAACTGGTGGTCCCAGATCGACCATCACAGTGTATGGATGTGTTTGGAGGTGTGGGAATAGGACTGCTCTGAGGCTCTAGAAGGCCAGCAGGTGGGGCAGACTGAATGGAGGGAGGGGACTGGCATTCAGTAACTACTGGAGCGTGGGAAGAGTGAGGTAGACTGTCCATCTGGTGAAGGTGGCTGCTTCCTTGAGGTTTGTTACTTTCTGTAATGTTAATTCCCTCAACTTTTAAAATTTGATTTTTAGACAAGTTATACATTCAAATGATTTAAAATTGGAAAATAATAAAAAGGTAAACAGTGAAGTCTTTCCCTTTCCCCTGCCTTCATGCCCCCAGTTTGCATCTCCAGAAACCTCAGAGGTTTCTCGTGTAACTTTCCAGATGTGTTTTATGCATGTACAAGGAAATGTGTGTTTATATATATAGTGTGTGTGTGTGTGTGTGTGTGTGTGTATATATATATTTTGTTCCTTTTGTCTTCCTACTTTTTACTGTCCTTCATTTTTTTATGGCTGCAAATATTCCTTTGTATGGAAATATAAGCAATTTAATTTACCTGTTCTTTCCCCTGTTGATAGACCTTTGGGTTTCTTTCAATCTTTTTTTTTTTTTTTTTTTTTTTTTTTTTGAGACAGAGTCTCGCTCTGTCGCCCAGGCTGGAGTGCAGTGGCATGATCTTCGCTCACTGCAAGCTCCGCCTCCTGGGTTCACGCCATTCTCCTGCCTCGGCCTCCCGAGTAGCTGGGACTACAGGTGCCCGCCACCACGCCCGGCTAATTTTTTTGTATTTTTAGTAGAGACGGGGTTTCACCATGTTAGTCAGGATGGTCTCGATCTCCTGACCTCATGATCTGCCCGCCTCGGCCTCCCAAAGTGTTGGGATTACAGGCGTGAGCCACCGCTCCTGGCTTTCTTTCAATCTTTTACTGTGAATAGTACAATGAATCACCTGGTATATTTATAATGTTGTAGGTAAGTGGGCCTGCAAAGGTGAATTCCATGCTAAATCCAAAGACATAATGCATTTGAAACTGTTTTTGGCAGGTAGGATACAGTTTTTTGTTGTTTTTTTTTTCATTTATTTTTATTATACATATCTGAGGTATACAACATGCTTTGTATACACAGTGAAATGATTACTATGGTCAAACAAATGTCTGTATCCTTCACCTTCCACAGTTACTCTCTGTGTATGTACACCTAAAATCTCTTTCAGCAAATTTTCAGTACACAATATTATTAACTATGGTTCTCATGCTGTGTATTAATTTGATCTCTAGAATTATTCATCTTACCTAACTGCAGATTTGTACCCTCCGACCTACTTCTGCCCATCCCACCCATCCCCTACCTCCAGACTCTTGATAACCACCATTCTACTCTCTATACATTCAGCTTCTCACCCCCCTGCCTCCCATTCTGCTTCTTAAGTGAGATCATACAGTATTTTTCTGTGTCTGGCTTACTTTATTTAGCATACTTTCCTCCCGGTTCATCTATGTTGTCACAAATGGCAGTATCTCCTTTCTTAAAGCTAACTATTCCATTGTATAAAGTCCTCATTGTCATCAGTAAGTTCTTAGAAACTGTGGTTAAGAGGGGAAAAAAAGTATGACAAAACTGATTTTTTTTTCATTTTGCATTATGCCAAAATTAGATTGAAGGAAACAGTGTTACTTGAGGACCTGCTGTATGTTCATTTAGCTTAACGTCTCAGTTCCCAAGAACCTATTGATGACATTAAGGGAGGACTTAATATATGTATAAACAAATGTCACAATTTCTTTATCCATTCATCTGTCCTTGAATGGGTAAGTAAATTGTCCATTAGGACACTTAGTTTGTTTCCATGTCTTGGCTATTGGGAGTAATGCCGCCATGAACGTGGGAACCCAGATGTCTCTCTCAGATGCTGATTTTATTACCTTTGAATATATGCCCAACAGAGGCACTGTTGGATCTTATGGTAGTTGTATTTTTTTTTTAAGGCAACTCTATACTGTTTTCAATAATGGCTATACTAATTTACATTCCTATCAACCATGTACAAAGGTTTCATTTTCTACACATCCTCACCAACACTTATGTCTTTGACTTTTTGTTAATAGTCATTCTAAGAGACACGAGATGATATCTATTGTGGTTTTGATTTTCATTTTCCTCATGATTATGATGTTGAGCATCTTTTCATATACCATTTGACCATTTGTGTGACTTTGGAAAAATGGCTATTCAGGTCCTTGCCTATTTTAAAATCCAGTTATTTGGGGTTTTTTTTTTTTGCTACTGAGTTGTGTGAGTTCCTTATATGTTTTGGATTTTAACCCCTTATCAGATGTGTGGTTTGCCAATATTTTCCCCTAATCCCTGTGCTACCTTTTTACCCCGTTTTGTTTTTTTTTTATTGCTATGCAGAAGCTTATTTGTTTGATGTAGTCCCACTTGCTTATTTTTGCTTTTGCTACCTGAGCTTTTGGTGTGATATCCAAAAAATCATTGTCAAGGAGGATATTAAGGAGTTTTTCTCCTATATTTCCTTCTAGGAGTTTTATGGTTTCAGGTGTTAGGTATTTAATCTATTTGAGTTGCTTTTTATGTATGATGTGTAAGATAGGCATCAGGTCCAGTTTCATTCTTTTGCATATAGATATCTAGTTTTCTTACCACTACTTATCGAAGACACCATCTTTTCCCTATTGTATCTTATTGGACTTGTCAAAAATTAGCTCATAATATATGTTTGGGTTTATTTTTGGGCTCTGTATTCAGTTGCATTGATCCATGTGTCTGCTTTTATGCCAGTACCATATGTTTTGATAACTATCACTTTGTAATATAAGTTGAAATCAGGTAGTGTGATACCTTCTACTTTGTTTTTCTTTCTCAAGATTCTTTTGGCTATTCAGGGTCTTTTATGATTTAATACAAATTTTAGAATTGTGTTTTCTATTTTTGTGAAAAATGCCTTTGGAAATTTGATAGGAATTGCATTGAATCTGTAGATCACTTTGGATAGTATGGACATTTTAACAATATTCTTCCAATCCACAAACTTGGGGATATCGTTATATTTATTTGTGTCTGTAGTTTTTTTCTGTTTTTTGAGACAGAGTCACGCTCTGTTGCCCAGGCAGAAGTGCGGTGGTGTGATCTCAGCTCACTGCAACCTCCACCGCCTCCTGGGTTCAAGCAATTCTGCTGCCTCAGCCCCCCAAGTAGCTGGGATTACAGGTGCCTGCCACCATGCCCGACTGGCCAATTTTTGTATTTTTAGTAGAGACAGGGTTTCGCCATGTTGGCCAGGCTGGTCTTGAACTCCTGACTTCAGGTGATCTACCTGCCTTGGCCTCCCAAAGTGCTGGGATTACAGGCGTGAGCCACCATGCCCGGCTGTGTGTCTTCAGTTTACTTTGTCAGTATTTTATAGTGTTTAGTATATAAAGCTTTCACTTCCTTCATTAAATTTGTTCCTCAGTGTTTTATTCTTTTTGATGTTATTTTAAGTGGAAATGTTTTCTTGATTTTTTTTCAGATCATTATTTGTATAAAGAAATGCATCTGATTTTTGTGTATTGATTTTGTATCCTGCTACTTGACTGAATTCATTTATTCTAGTAACTGTGGAATTTTTAGGGGTTTCTACATACAGGATCATGTCATCTGCACACAGGGATAATTTTACCCCCTTTTTTCTGCTGATGCCTTTTATTTCCTTTTCTTATGTGATTGCTCTGGCTAGGACTATGTTGAATATAAGTGTTAAGAGTAGGCATCCTTGCCTTGTAGCAGATACTGAAGAAAAGCTTTCAGTCTTTCCCTGTTGTAGGTTTGTTTTTGAATAGGCAATACCTGTGCATGATACAAGAAATACAAAGGTCTTAAAAAGAGTGAACAATGTTAAGTTAGCCTACTTTTTGGCCATCCCTTCCTTGGAAAGAACCAGTGTTTTCTTATAACTTTCCAGAGATTAGTCATCTAGATACAAGTATGTATATATGGGAGAATTTCTCATATTTGGGTGATATGCTCTTTTTCTCTTTTCTTTTCTTTTCTTCTGGTCTGTCTTTCTTTCTGTCCTCGTCTCGTCTCTTCTCTTCTCTTTTCTTCATTTCTTTTGACGGAGTCTTGCTTTGTCATCCAGGCTGGAGTGTAGTGGCGCAATCTCGGCTCACTGCAAGCTCTGCCTCCCAGGTTCACGCCATTCTCTTGCCTCAGCCTCTGGAGTAGCTGGGACTACAGGCACCCACCACCACGCCCGGCTAATTTTTTGTATTTTTGTGTTTTTAGTTCCTCTCCTCTCCAGGAGAGGAACAGGGGCCACAGGGAGCTGATCATGAAACACACTGAGGGTGTTTCATCAGGGGAGTGACGTGAGCATAGTCACATTCAGGAAAGATCACTGCCTCTGGGAAGACAGAGGGTCAGGGCAGAGCCTGGAGGCCAGGAGAATGCCACCTTCAAACAGGGTGCAGGAGGCACAATTCTGGACAGGGATGTCCATGGCCAGAGGAGTGGTCCAGCTCCTAGAAGATGAGGAGAGACCGAAGGTGAGGATGGCTCTTCAGTTTCAGGTTTAGGCACCTGGACAGATGGTCTTGCCTTCTCCAGTGGCAGAAAGCACTGAAGGGGAAAGAGGTTGGGGGAAGGGACTGTGTAGGTTGAGCAGCCTAAGTCTGAGAAGCTGGGCCACTTGCAGGTGTTGGTCCAGGGTGCAAGTGCATTTGGTGAAGGGGGAGACTAGGAAGGGAGGAGAAAGTCCAGTCTGTTACTAGACCTCACCATGCTGCAGGTGTCTGGGCCAGCAGGTCGCAGCCGGAGCTGTGCAGCTGGCTGCTGTCACATCCCTTCCTCTCCCAGCTGCCTTCAGCTGAGCTTAACGCCAGCAGAGGCCGAAACACTTCACAAATGCAACTTGTCAGCTGGGAGGTGCACTCAGAGCTCAGGAACACTGTTTTCCCTCTTTATTGTTTTCCATCATTTTTTTTTTTCAGTCTGGGTTTTGGGTCCCGTCAGTTCCTTTTCTGTTCAACACTGAGCTATGTATCCACCCCTCTCAAGGTTGAAAAAGAGAAAGACTGTAAAAGTGCCCTGCAAAGAAGAGGCTTCCAACTCTCTGGGGGTGGGGGGGTGGGGGGCTCTCTTCCTCCTCTTGTCTTCTGGGTTCATTCCAAATTATTCCCCAAAGGAAAAATCACTGAAGGACTGGGGGCGGTGGTGGGGAAAAGGACAGTCTCCCAAGAGGTCAGGTGAAGCCCCAGCCTCATGGTGTTGAGGGAGGGGCTGGGGGAAGCGGGAGCCTGTTCCTAGGAGACACTGTCTACTGGACACCTCATCCTAGACGGCTTCCCTGAGTTCTGACACTGTTCTAGGAGTAGGAATCATTATCCCACGCTATGGAGAAGGAAACCAAGGCCAGGTAAAGTTATGTAGGGCGCTTAAAGTTGCAGAGCCAGGAATAAAGTCCGGATTGGGACTCAGGTCTGTGGGCAATCCAAGGCCGCCCCCTTTACACTTCAAATGCTCTTTCCCCCTCCGGAAGCCCTCGCGTCCTCATCCCTACCCCACCTCTTGTTCCCCAAGCGTGGCTAGGGCTAGGGCTCCAGGGCTACGCCAAGCACCCTTCGGTCTTCCCGGGAAGAATTTTCCCCGGCCCGGGGCTAGGGTCTGGCGCTGGGGCGCTCCTGGGACCTGCGGGATCACCACTACACTCTGGCGCGCTGAGCGCGGTGAGCTAGGGCGCCAAGGCACAGGTGGGGCTGGAGTCCAGCGCGGAGGCGCGGGGGGCGGGACGCGGGGCCGGGGATCGGCCAGGGACCGCGGCAGCGCCGCAGTGCCAGCCCAGCGCCGGCGACTGCCTGCCCCAGCCCCTCAGTGGCGGCTTGCTCTCTTCTCTCGCTCCGAACCAGACACAGCCGCTGTCGCTGCCATCTGGCGCGCCGCAGACTCCCGAGAACAGCCCTGGCTGTCAGCGGGCACCAGCCGCTTCCTGTGCCCATCGCGGAGACTGGAGGGGCGCACCACGGCCACCGAGCCAGAGGCGCTTCAGGAGGCAAGAGAAGTCCCCGCGCGCTCCGGGACCCGGCGCAGCTCATGGTGAGCGCCCTCTGGGGCTCGAGGGTCCCTTGGCTGAGGGGGCGCATCCTCGGGGTGCCCGATGGGGCTGCCTGGGGGTCGCAGGGCTGTAGTTGGGATCGCGCACAAACCGACTCTGCGGCCCAGCCCGAAATGCTGCCGCCAAGGAGCAACGGCACCGCGTACCCGGGGCAGTTAGCGCTATACCAGCAGCTGGCGCAGGGGAACGCCGTGGGGGGCTCGGCGGGGGCACCGCCACTGGGGCCCGTGCAGGTGGTCACCGCCTGCCTGCTGACCCTACTCATCATCTGGACCTTGCTGGGCAACGTGCTGATGTCCGCAGCCATCGTGCGGAGCCGCCACCTGCGCGCCAAGATGACCAACGTCTTCATCGTGTCTCTGGCTGTGTCAGACCTCTTCGTGGCGCTGCTGGTCATGCCCTGGAAGGCAGTCGCCGAGGTGGCCGGTTATTGGCCCTTTGAAGCGTTCTGCGACGTCTGGGTGGCCTTCGACATCATGTGCTCCACCGCCTCCATCCTGAACCTGTGCGTCAGCAGGTCATCAGCGTGGGCCGCTACTGGGCCATCTCCAGGCCCTTCCGCTACGAGCGCAAGATGACCCAGCGCATGGCCTTGGTCATGGTCGGCCCGGCCTGGACCTTGTCCAGCCTCATCTCCTTCATTCCGGTCCAGCTCAACTGGCACAGGGACCAGGCGGTCTCTTGAGGTGGGCTGGACCTGCCAAACAACCTGGCCAACTGGACGCCCTGGGAGGAGGCCGTTTGGGAGCCTGACGTGAGGGCAGAGAACTGTGACTCCAGCCTGAATCGAACCTACGCCATCTCTTCCTCGCTCATCAACTTCTACATCCCCATGGCCATCATGATCGTGACCTACACGCACATCTACCGCATCGCCCAGGTGCAGATCTGCAGGATTTCCTCCTTGGAGAGGGCCGCAGAGCACGTGCAGAGCTGCCGGAGCAGCGCAGGCTGCACGCCCGACACCAGCCTGCGGTTTTCCATCAAGAAGGAGACCAAGGTTCTCAAGACCCTGTCAGTGATCATGGGGGTCTTCGTGTGTTGCTGGCTGCCCTTCTTCATCCTTAACTGCATGGTCCCTTTCCGCAGTGGACACCCCAAAGGCCCTCCGGCCGGCTTCCCCTGCGTCAGTGAGACCACATTCGATGTCTTCATCTGGTTCTGCTGGGCCAACTCCTCACTCAACCCAGTCACTATGCCTTCAACGCCGACTTCTGGAAGGTGTTTGCCCAGCTGCTGGGGTGCAGCCACGTCTGCTCCCGCACGCCGGTGGAGACGGTGAACATCAGCAATGAGCTCATCTCCTACAACCAAGACATGGTCTTCCACAAGGAAATCGCAGCTGCCTGCATCCACATGATGCCCAACGCCGTTCCCCCCGGGGACCAAGAGGTGGACAACGATGAGGAGGAGGAGAGTCCTTTCGATCGCATGTCCCAGATCTATCAGACATCCCCAGATGGTGACCCTGTTGCAGAGTCTGTCTGAGAGCTGGACTGCGAGGGGGAGATTTCTTTAGACAAAATAACGCCTTTCACCCCAAATGGATTCCATTAAACTGCATTAAGAAACCCCCTCATGGATCTGCATAACCACACAGACATTGACAAGCATGCACACACAAGCAAATACATGCCTTTCCAGTACTGCTCCCTTTATCATGTGTTTCTGTGTAGTAGCTGGTGTGCTTAGAAACCTCACCCCATTGATTGGTAGTTCAAAGAATTGGCAGAAGCAGTTGCAATAAACTCAGTCAAATGTACCCAGCCTACCAGAGATGGAACAATGATCCTGTGAGAGAAGAGAGTATGGTGCTGGCTCCTTAAAAAAAAAAAAAAAAAATGATACTTGGTCCTTAAAAAATATGCTCTCCCCTCCCTTTTTAAACAAATGGCTTTTTCAGTCACTTGTTTGTGTTTGAATTGATTTTTAAACAGCAGGTTTTGTGTGTGTGCAGTGATGTGGTGGGAGCACAGCTTTCCTGGGTCTGGATTCCCGTGGCTTTGTGCTTGTGTCATTTCTTCTCTCTGTGCTGGTGGGGGTCTCTTTACCATAGCTTAAGAAGTCTCCCTGATTTATTCTGGTATCTAATAAACACAGATTATTTGTATTATGTGGTGACTATCTTTGCTTTGCTACACTGGGTTTCAGGATTGCTTCTGAAGAAAGGATGAGTGCATCCTTAAAATGCAAAGAAGACATTTGCTGGGTCTGGAAGTACATGCTTATTCTCTTTACAGTTTGGCCTTAAAGATACACCAGGGCAAAGGACCTTGAGGAGCTTCTGTTTTCTCAGGTTTCTTTTTATTACTTATACACATGTTGGGTCTGTGCTGAAACCTGGCTTCAATGGCATGGCATTAGATCTTCTCAAGCCCAGATTTTTTTTTCATTTGGAATCTTTCTTGAAGTAACATAAGACAACTCTCCTTATTCCTAGACAGATGCGATCAGTTCATTGAAAAGATCATGTAGAATAATATCTTGAATCTTTCTCCATCTGAAATCTGTAGCATGTTTTAGAATCACCTGGCTTTTGAGAAATCCTGTTTTCTGAAGGGCTTTGAAATGTATGAATCAAGATGCTTTAAAAAAGAAACCTATTTTTAAATAGGCATTTTCCTTAGTGGACAATAGCAAATAGAGAAATGCTTTTTAACTAAAATGTAGAAGCCAGAGATGAAATGTGAATGAACTTGAAATTGGAAAATCTGTAGGTCGAGGTGCTCAATAGAAAAGCCCAACTGACTCCAATCATTTTGTTTTTCCTCTCTGCAGTGTGCACAGTCAAGGGGAGTGTTTTATTCCAGACCCACACCAGTTGAGAGCATATTATTACCATCAGATCTAAATATGAGCACTATTAATGGAAGCAAATGAAATGTGAATATGCAATTTCTTGCAAGTCCCTGATTTGAAGCAGTTTTATCAAGGACAGTTCAATCAATTTTGATCTCTCTAAGGCTAATTTTATTGTCAGTCTTCTGTGCAGCCATATCTTGATCACTGCAAAATGTGCAGCTCCTGGCACATCGTACTTAATAAATATTTGTTGAATGAATGACTATTTCTGGAATAGTGATATTGAAAGCAAATCCTATTCGGTACATCAATTTTTATATATAATTTAGTCAAAATGATACTGGAATCTGAGGCCCGTGTTCAGTTTCTGACCTCCTGTGAATGGATAGCTAAGTGAACCATTAGGCAACATTAGGGGCAGTGAAAAGCACACAGCTCTACGATTCAGGAGATGGTCGCATGACCTTGAGTGAGTCAATTAACCTTTCTGGGCCTCATTTTCTGTCTGTGTCTGTAAATGGAAAGACTTCAGCTGGATCACTGTTTACCCAATTGTGCTTTGTGATGCAGATGTTAATGGATGGGGTCTCTGGTGAAATAAGTTCAGCAAACCCAGGTTCAACACCTGTTTTCTCGATAGGACTTCTTAGAGCTTCTCCTGTGCATGATGCATCCTCCAGTGCGAGAAGATTCTGTATTATTTCCCAATGCCATTCACTTTGTGAACCTTGTTTGGTGGAATTCCTGTTACTGTTTCACTGGAGTCCACAGTCACTACTTGAGAAACTCAAATCTAACTGATCTGGAAGTCTTTACAATATTCTGTTCTAAAGCACGGGTTGCTATAAGCAAAATCTTTTGTGAAAAACACTGTTCTAGGCTCCAGTTTAAATAAGTTCTGTGTTATGGAAAATGGGTTATGTGAGGACTTTGGAATTTCCTTCTGTAAAATATCACTCACCATTCATTATAATTACGTACTATGCTCTAGGCATTGTTCTAGATGCTGGGAATATAGTTGTCAATCAAATTCTCTGCTCTCTTGGAACATTTATGTGAGCTGGGGGAGAGATAAGCCAATAAAGAGATCTGTACTATACTGCACTGCATTGCACTGTGCTGTACTGACCAGGATAGATAATGCCAGGCAGGGGTAATTGCTATGTTGCAAAAAGCCCAGGGTGAGTAGGGTGGTGAAGCTGCTGTTTTATTTATGGTGGTCAGGGGAGGACTTTCCAAAGAGCCACATGAAGAGAGACCTTGATGAAGTAAGGATTGGAGGGCTGCTAATGTCTGGGAAGGAGAGCAATCCAGGCAGAGGGAGTGGCAAGTGCAAAGGCTTGGAAATGGGATTGTTCTTGGCACCCTTGGAGGAGTGTGGCTGGAGGGCTATAAAAGAGGAGTGTGATAGGATTAATGTTAATTGCTGTAGCAGCAATTGCAGCAGGCATGATGGAGACCCAGCCTGTGCTGGGTAAAATACATGTATTAATTCATTTCACTCTCACTGCCCTGTGAGGTAAGCACTTTTATTAACCCATTTTACAGATAAGGAAATGAAGGCATTGGCAGGCTAAATAACCAGCCTGTGGTCACATAGCTCCTGAGTGGCAGAGCTCAACTTGAACCCAGGTAGCCTGGCTGTGGAGTCTTTAATCCTAACTGCTCTTTGATGGTGAGAGAGGATGCCAGGATATCTTCAGTCAGCAAATGCACTAGTGCACAGATCAGGACATTCAGTTTTTTGTTCATTTATTACTGAAATGGTTAATTGATTCATCCCCACAGCTATACAACAGCAGATCTTCACTGTGTACCTCCTCTGTGCACAGCTTTGTGTTTGGAGGGAAGGCACCCTAGGGTTATGGGCAAAGTAGCTCTTACATGATGGGCCAATTGCTTTCCTGGATTCTTATTTATTCCTCACATTAACCTCACATGTTATTATTTTTCCATTTTACAGGTGAGGACATGGGGGCACAGAGGACCTTGAGGACAAGGTTGTTTGTCCAAGGTCATGTGAAAAGTAAGTAGTGGAACCACCCTAGGTCAGTGGTTCTTAAATGAGGGAACTTTGCACCCTGCACCCCCACAGATATTTGGCAATGTCTGGAGACATTTTTGGTTGTCACAGCTGGGTGTCAGGTGCTCCTGCCATCTTCTGGGTAGAGGCCAAAGATGTTGCTAAACAACTTATGGTGCACAGAGAATTATCTGGCTCCAAATACCCATGTTGCAGCACTCGAGAGGCCTTGGCCAGGCAGGCAGACTCCAGGTCCCAGCTCCCCGTCCACAAGGCCACCTGCCTGGGATTGGAGGCTCCAGTGCCCTAAGTTTGAAGTTTGGCTCCACCATTTATTAGTCTTCTGAATTTGGGCACCTTTCTGAGCTCCAGCTTCTTTATCTGAGCAATGGGCACATGAACCACACAGAGCGTGAATTACACAAAACACATGCCCCAGAACTTCCTTGTTCTGATACATGCTGAATCTTCTTTTATAATTAGGCATCCATACACCATATTCATTGGTTAGAAATGAGTCATTACGTCCAAATCATATTCAAGGGGAGGTGATTAGACTTTACCTCTTCATGGGAGGAGTGCCAAAGAATTTGCAGAAGAGATGTTTTACATTTTATGCTTTATTTTAAAACACTTGTTCTCACATAGTTTCAGACTTACAGAAACCTTGCAACACGGTACAAAGAATTTCTAAACATTGTTTACCCAGATCCCCCAAACATCAGGGTTTCACTGTATCACTTATCTCTGTTCTTCCCTTTTTCTTCTGAGTCATCTAAGGTGTGATGCCCATTTACTCTTGAATATTTTGTTGCATATTTCCTAAAAACAGGGAATTCTCTCATCTCATCTACAGACTTTATTCAGACTTCACAATAATGTCCTTTATAACAAAACAATCCAAGACCATGTGTTGCATTTAGCTGTCCCCTGTAATTTGAAAGTTTCTGCTGCTTTGTCTTTCTTGACACAGACCTTTGTGAAGATTACCTGGCCAGTTACTTGGTATAATTGTCCTTCAACTTCGGTTTTTTGGTGCTTTTCCATGATTAGATTCTGTTATGCATGTTGGGCAGGAATATCACTGATGCCATGCTGAGCTCCTGTAGCTCAAGGCATGAGGGGCAGGTGCTATTAATTAGCCCCATTACTAGCAATGTTAACTTTGTTCATGGGGTTACGGTGCTGTCCACCGTTTTACTCTTTATAATTAATATGTATTTCCTTTGGAGAAATACTTTGAGACTATGAAGATATCCTATTATTTCTCAAACTTGCATCCATTGGTTTTAGCATTTATTAGTAGCCCTTCCCTGAATCAGTTATTACTGTGGTTGTCAAATCGTGTTTTTTAAAAAAATTCTGTAATCTTTCTAAATGTATTGTTGGTTTTCTACTGTAAGGAAGAACACTTGTTTATATTATTGACATCGGCATAGAATCTTGGTTTTCTAGTTTTCTGTTTGTTTTTGAGACAGGGTCTCACTCTGTTGTCTAGGCTGGAGAGCAGTGGCATGATCACAGATCACTGCAACCTTGACTCCAAGGCTGAAGTGATCCTCCCACCTCAGCCTCCCAAGTAGCTGGGACCACAGGCATATGCCACCATGCCCAGGTAATTTTATTTTATTTTTTTTTTTGTAGAGACGGGGCCTCCCTATGTTGTCCAGGCTTGTCTCAAGCTCCTGGGCTCAAACAGACTTCCCGCCTCAGCCTCCCAAAGTGCTGAGATTTACAGGCTTGAGTCACCATGCCCAGCCCGGGTTTCTAGTTTTTATAATAGGTTATAATCTTTTACTTGATGCTGTTAATGGATACTATTTTTACATTCCAGGTATGGGACCTTGGGACACATGTGTCCCATTTCTATGATATTAACACAATGCTCATTCTAGGGGCAACACTCAGAACACTGTTTTCTATTGTCTTCTAAGACTGTCCCTGACCTCAAATCTCTCAGTGAACTGAGGGTATCCATACTTATCATGATATTTAGGTTGCCCTAGATTTGGTGAGTGGGAGCCCTTTAAGTTGGTTCTTGTGTCCTTTTGACATGCTGTCATTATTCTTTGAGTAGTTTGTTACTTTTCAACATGAGATATGTCAGACTCATCTTGTGTATTCCCTGTCCAAGCCTTGGAATCATCCATTTTTCCAAGGAGACCAGGGTTCCTTCTAGCAGAAAATGATATGGAGAAATCAAGATGTGGGCACTAGGGTGTTTATTGTTACTGGGGTGATATTGTTTCTATATCCTCTTAAAAGACAGAGTTGGGAAATGGATACATGTATATACATGCACACATATTCATATGTGCACATACACATATCCTTGAGCATCTCTATCTATTTCTATGCCTACCTATGTACATATATCAAATCCCATGCACTCATTTTGATATCTAGCAGACATATTTTAAAAACCATCACCTCTGGTTCAAATCTTGATTCTTTAATGTTCTAGTTCATGAGAACTGGAAGTCAAAGAGATTAAGTTACCTTCCTAGGTTTAAAAAATATTAAAAAGGGAATAATTAGTTGCTTACCTTGTAGTTTATTGTCAGAGTTATGTGCTATGATGCATGTGGAATGTGTAAGGGTGTTACACAATGAGAATTTAAAAATGGTCTTCTTGTGACTGTGCCCTTAAGAGCTGAGAGTACAGGGCAGAACCTTCCTGTTTCTATGTAGTGGTTCCATGCTCCATTTTACAGACTGTGTGAGAAGCTACTAGGGATCAAGAATTCAAGAGTCAATATGCAGGAGAGGGATAGAGTAGCTGAAGAGCAAACTAGACTTGCCTACACCTAGAATAGGAAGAAATAGGACAAGATGTCAAGCTTGATAGGAGGAAGTTGTTGATATGAGGGGAGAGTTAATCAGAGAATGTTGAGCCCATGTGGAACCCCCTGGACCTCTAGGCCAATTTGGGGGAAGGGCTTAAAGGGAATATGAGTACCCCTACTCACAAGAGCAGGCAGAGCCATCAGACTTTTGCTTTGACACTGTTAATGAAGTACCATTTTGATATTCCAGGTATGAGACCAGGGGATACATGTCTCCCATTTGTAGGATATTAATAATACAATGCCAGTTCCAGGGAAAACACTCAGAACTTTGATCTGATTCTCTTCTAAGATCATTGCTGTCCTAAAACCTCTTAGTGAACTATGAGTACCAGCACTCCACCAACACTGACAGAATAAAGGTGACAACCAGCATTTGTTGACTATATATTGGGCAAGGTGCTTTGTATACATCTTCTCATGGAATCACTGCAATATTCTTGTGACATAGGCACCATTGTCCTCATTTGGAAAAGGAGGCTGAGAGAGGCTCAATAGCAAGCCAGGTTATACTTCTAGTAAGGGATAGAAGTGGGATTTGAAGAGCATCTACTCCTGGAGAGCCCCCCTTTTGGGCTTTACACAACTCTTTGGAGGGACTCAGGAAGAGGAGAGCTCCTTCGTGTATATTGCCCATGGATCCTCTCCAGGTGAAGTATTTTGAGGTTCTGAAACCATTATCAGACTTGGCTGTAAATTCCCTCTCCATCTTGGACCTTTTCCTGTGCTCTTCCAATGGCCCTTTCCAATGGGTAATTAGACCTCAGTTGTCTACATGAGTGAGATCTGCTCAGCATGGAGAGGGCTCTATTTTTCTACACCCTTGATAATTTGTAGGTTTGGGAAAGCATGCCCAGTGTGGCTTGTCAGGGCTAACACATATGCCTTCATTCATATGTCAACTTGGCTTCATGGGTAGGGGCTGCCTGGAGTCCTGGGATGAGAAAGACTACACAATTGCATTCCAACCAATGACATTGAGGGGACTGGTTAATAAATGATTTCTATTAGGAGCTTGGGAGGTGGGGGGATGTGTGAATGTTCTAAGTACTTGCCATTCTGTGTCTCTCCACAGCCCCTAAACCTGTCTGTCCTAGAACCACTTGAAAGTTAAAATATTGATGTCTGGGGCCCACTCCAAATTAGTTAAATCTGAATTTCTAAGGAATAGGACCTAAGCTTCACTTTTTTAAAAAAATTGAATGTGTTAGAATGTATATAGCCACAATTGAAAAACACCATTAGTCTACACTATCATTAGGCATGTTTGAAAATTCTCTGCCTTGATCCTGCCCTGATCTTGCCTTTGCTACAATATTAAATGGGCTCTTATTAACAATGAATATATCTAATTATTCTCTAGATCTTTTATTAGCTTGAATTATTCTTAGATATTCTGCCACATAAAAGTATTTGAATGTATAGTCTTTGTGGTTGATGGTCTAATCAGCTAAACTCAAACCTCACTGCAGCTGTGACTAGAAAGTCCTCATTGATGGAGAACCCTAGAGGTCCTTTCAGAGAAGAAAAAATAATTCAGTGGGCCAAGCTGTAATATTTTGCCTCTGATTCTCAGATTCCTTGTTGGCAAAATGGGAATGCAAAATAAATAAAGAGTCTATAGTCAGTACCTAATAAGTATTTGTTGAATGAATAAATTAGTGGAATACAAAATTAAAATACTTGTCTCATCAAACATCTAGAGAAAAAGGAGACAGATATAGAGCTAACCCATGCCTGTTATACCATTTAATGCTAGGCGTATGGAAGCAGATACTGTGTCTCTCTAGTTTCACAGGCTCTCAGAGAGAGAGGAACTGTACTCTAGGAGCTGCATGTGACTAGTCATTCTCAAGAAGTCCCCACCCCAATACCTGATTTGATGAGATTCTGAACTTTAGTTGATGCTGAAGGGGGAGGAGATTTTTAGGGATCTTGGCAGGACACAAGTGTATTTTGCATGGGGTGGAGGATGTGAATCACTGGGGGCTGGAGGACAGGCTTCCCAGCAGCCCCTAAGATGGCCTCCAGTGATCCATGTCTCCTGGTATTCATGCCCTTGTATAATCCTCTCCACTCCCTTATATCTTGGCTGAACCTAATGTCTTGCTCCTAACAAACACAATATGGTGAAACTGATGAACAGCACCTCTGAGAAGTTACAAGAAGAAAATGACTTCCATCCTGCTCACCCTCTCTTGCTCTCTTGCTTTCTTGCTTTCTTGTTCTGATGGAAGCCAGCAGCCATGTTGTGGGTGTTCTATGAAGAGGCCCAGTAGCAAGAAACCAGAGGCTGGGGGAGTGTCTGACCAAGAGCCAGCCAAAACCTGAACCTGCTAATAATCACATGAGTGAGCTTGGAAAGGAAGCATCCCTCAGTTGAGCCTTCAGATGAGACCATAGCCTTATATTACTCCTTGATTGCAGCCTTTGGGAGACTGTGAGCCAGAAGACCCAGAGAAGCTTTGCCTGGGCTCCTGACTCATAGACACTATCAGAAAAACACTTGCTGTTTTAAGCTGCTAAGTTCTGGGTTAATTTGTTATTTAGCAATAGATAACTAATATAGAAGAAAAGGGAGAGAACATTTATTGAATCCTTTGCTATGCCCCAGGTACTTTGTAAACCTTTTTCCATTTCATCCTTAAGTCAACCTGGATGAAAATATTCAGGTTCAGAGATGCTGGGTGAGTGCCAGGGGCAGGATATGAATCACTACTGTTTGATTTGAAAGCCTGTGCTCATTTCTCTATTCCAGGATGCAAACCAGGAGACGTTTTCTATTCTATGTTTCTTTTTTCTTTTCTTTTCTTTTCTTTTTTTGTGGCAGGGGGACAGGGTCCTGCTCTGTCATCCAGGCTAGAGTGAAGTGGAGCAATCATGGTTCACTGCAGTCTGAAACTCTTGGGCTCTGGTGATCCTCCTGCTACGGCCTCCCAAGTAGCTGGGATTATAGGCATGCACCACCACACCTGGATAGTTTTTTTTCTTTTTAATTTTTATTAGAGACTAGGTCGCACTATGTCACCCAGGTTGGTCTCAAACTCCTGAGCTCAAGGGCTTCTTCTGCCTCAGCCCCTACAAAGTGCTAGGATTACAGGTAGGAGCCATGGTGTCCGGCCACATTTTCTCTGTTCGTAAAGTCAGCAGTAGAATAGCTAACATTGTTGCTAAACAGTTTGTATAAAATGAGTAATTATTAGTGCCCCTGCATGCAGCCACCTGCTGTTGCTGACCTTCTGTGCCTCTGCAGCCAAACATACATCAGGTACTTATGTATACACACTCCACAGGCACACAGATGCCTCCACAATACACATGTGCCCAAGATGCAATTGCAAGCACACAAGTGCACAAATAAGTACACACATGTGTCTTCACAAAGAACTATCTCCACCTTCATTTTCTCCCATCCAAGTACTAATCAGGTCTGACCCTTTTTAGCTTCCAAGATCAGATGAGATTGGGCATGTTCAGGGTATATGGCTGTAGCCTACATCCTCTTTTTTTTTTTTTTTTTTTTTTTGAGACGGAATTTCGCTCTTGTTGCCCAGGCTGGAATGCAACGGTGCTATCTCGGCTCACAGCAACCTCTGCCTCCCGGGTTCAAGCCATTCTCCTGCCTCAGCCTCCGGAGTAGCTGGGATTACAGGCATGCGCTACCACGCCTGGCTAATTTTGTATTTTTAGTAGAGATGGGGTTTCTCCATGTTGGTCATTTTTAAATGAAAGACCCTTTGAGACAGTTCATACCTAAATATGTAAATAGTGCACAAGATTTTGCAGCCTGAACAGAAATGGCCACTATAGTTTTTTCTCTTTAGCAATTTTCTGTGTGCTGTAAACAAATTTGAAATCTGGCTAGAGACTTCGGAAATCATGTTGACCACTCCCCATGTTGTGCAGATGCAGAAATTGAGGCCCTGAGGGACTTGCCCAAGTACCCCAGCAAAGTGGTGTGAACTGAAGTCCAGGTCTCCCAACTCCCAGTTGACTGTCCTTGCTGTGGCACTGTGGACCGTCGGTGGGGAGAACACCCCTGGTCCTTAGGAATCCATTTCTGAAGGACATCAGGAGCACAAACAAGTTCATGCCCTATTGTTCTTTCCACGTAAAAGAAGTTGATGACATTTATGCTTTTCTCACAATATCCCATTAAGATAGAACATTGTTGAATTATTTGTGGATTAAATACAGATGTGCAGGGATTTTAGGGCCCTGATTGATTTTCTGTTGAAAGAAGCGAAAGGAATGTTAATTTACAACTGACAAATGTTAGCTCTTAGGAGGAGGCAAAACAGCATTTCGAAGGCCTGTTTTTTGTTTGGTTTTGGTATTTCATGAAAGAGATTTTTCTGTGCAAAGTGGCAGGAAGCCATTTTCAACAAGAGCTAAAGGGAATGAAGATTTAAAAAATGGACCAAAAACAAACTCAAAGGTGCCAGGCCTTTGTTACTGCAAGCCCCTCTTGCAGGATGAGAGGCTGCTAAAACAAAATCAATAATTTAAGCAACTTTCTGTCCCTCTCTCCCCTGCTATTCTGGTAAAATGATTTGACATTTCAGACAACAAGGAATGAACATCAGACCAGGAAGAAAAGGGCTTGGTTATGAGTCCCAGTTGTGTGATTTTAAGTACATGATTAAACGTTTATTAATTTGGTTCTCTCATCTCTAATAATGAAACCATCACTCTTACATCTTGAGTGTAAAAAATGCTCATTTACTAGAACTCACCCTGTATCAGATGCCACATTAGGATTTGTGCAGAGTGATCTCATTAATTCCTTTTTTTTTTTTTTGAGATGGAATTTCACTCTTGTCACCCAGGCTGGAGTGCAATGGTGCAATCTTGGCTCACTGCAACCTCTCTCTGCCACCCGGTTTTGGTTTCAAGCGATTCTCCTGCCTCAGCCTCCCGAGTAGCTGGGATTACAGGTGCCCACCGCCATGCCCGGCTAATTTTTTGTATTATTAGTAGAGACGGGGTTTCACCATGTTGGTCAGGCTGGTCTCGAACTCCTGACTTCAGGTGATCCACCCACCTCGGCCTCAAGTGCTAGGGTTGCAGGTGGGAGCCACCATGCCCAGCCTCGTTAATTCTTTATAGCAGCCTTGTGAGGGGGTCTGTTCATTCTCACTGTACAGCTAAAGGTGCTGAGGCTCAGAAAACTCAAGCTCGTCGCTCAGGGTCACACAGCTAAGAAGTGACAAGGTGGAGATTTAAACCTATGCTTGTCTGGCTAGGCACTGTCTTATATAGTAAGAGTGTGGGGATGACAGATTGCAAAACAAAGCAAAATAAAACTCACAAGCTCTGAAGATGTAGTGACTGCCTACTCTGCCCCTGTGCTAGTGACCCAGAGTTAAAGATGGGTTCTCATCATGGTCTCTGCTTCTGTGGATCCCTCAGTGGCTTGAGAGGAAAGCAAACCTGGTGGTGGCAACGAGGGCATCTAATATTTTGGATTCCATTTTGGACTCATGTTTAAAGTGCATATGGGCTATACAGGTGGGTGTATGAGCCGAGGACAAGAGCAGAGGTCTGGGTTTGGGACCAACATCACCAAAGATGATAGCCAACACTGAGTGACTGCTGAATTTGTGCTGGACACTGTGCCAAAGAGTTCTCAGGCATTAACCCATTCTTTTTTTTTTTTTTTTTTTTTTTTGCGGAGACAAAGTCTCACTCTGTCACCCAGGCTGGAGTGCAGTGGTGCGATCTTGGCTCACTGCAACCTCCGTCTCCCAGGTTCAAGCAATTCTCCTGCCTCAGCCTCCCAAGTAGCTGGGCCTACAGGCATGCACCACCACACTCAGCTAGTATTTTTGTATTTTAGTATAGACGGGGTTTCACCATGTTGGCCAGGGTGTCTTGATCTCTTGACCTCATGATCCGCCTGCTTCGGCCTCCTAAAGTGCTGGGATTACAGGCATGAGCCACTGTGCCTGGCTGCATTAACCCATTCTATCTTCAGACTGATGCTGTGAGGCTGCTGTCCTTACCCTGCTGTACAGAGCAGTGAGAAAACTTGCTTGTAGGTGAAAGTTAAAACTTCAAGGAGGATTCTTCTTGAAAGCCATCCGAAGGTTTTTCTATTTGGTGATTCATGATCAATCTTATGCCCCAAGTCCCCACATTCCCTCTATTTTGAGTCACTCTGTCTCGTAAGAGCCCCTGGTGCCTTTATTTTGCTTCATTTGAATTCTGGATTCAGCATGCATCAGAAATGTTCTCCCTGAGAGCTGGAAAGCATTTTTGTGATGGCTGGGCTGCAGGGCCATTAAGAAAATACCTTTGCACACCAACAAAAAAGACTAAAGCCTTAATTGCTGATCCAAAAGGCAACAGGAAAGGATGCACCACTGCATATATGGTGAGGGATGCATTGCCTTGGTCAGGGCACAGGTCCTCTGTCCCTGAGTCCTGTTTCCTTGTGTGGGTAGAGGGCATTTTCACACTCTCTGTCCCCAAAAGACCTCAGGGGGAACCAAAGAGCAGCATGAGCAGGGGGCCATGGTCATGGGCATTGACTGGGTGCTTGCTGCATGCAAAGGCTCTGTGTTAAGCACCTTGGGAACACTAACTCATTTACTGTCCCAACAAATCCAGGATGTAGGTACAAGTAATAGTCCCACTTTACAGGTGACAAAAATGAGGAATAGAGAGGTTTGGTGATTTGCTCAAGATCACACAGTATGTGTGGCACAGCTGAGATTCTGACCCACAGGTGAAACTCTTGAGCTTATTCTTCTCACTGAACCCCCTGCCTCTCATGGTTATGTGGCTCATGCTCCCATAGCCTTAAGTCCTGAGGCTAAGGAAGGGTCCTCAGATAAAAGACGTCAATTTCTGTGTCTTTTTTGAGCAGGCTTCATGAACATCAACACTCATTTGAGGTTACTGAGAGCATTTGCCTGGCCTTAACATTGTCATCCCAAAGCTGTTTGCCAATTCATTCCCATCTTCACAGCCCTGTCTTTCTCCAGTAGGCTTGGTCTGTGGTTCTAATGAACACAGGAGGCTTGGTTCATTCGGATGCAGGAAGTGAGGAGGAATAACATGAAGGGGATTGACCAGATGCCTCAATTCTAATCAGCTGAATGGAGATACTTATGATACCTCCTTATGCAGTGCTGTAAGGATTAGATGGGATTCTTTATATAAAGGACTTAGAACAATACCTGGCATGTTGTTAGTACTCAATTAACTTTATACAATATATTAGTCAGGCTTTGTTGTGATGATGCCACATAAAAAGTAATCCCCAAATCTCAATGCTAACAACAACAAACATTTACTTCTCATTTCCATAGGTCAGCTGTGGTTCTACAGGGCTCTTCTGGGCTGGCTAGATTCAGATGGGCCTGGATCTGGGTGGTGAATTGGGTTCCTATTTGCTTCACTTGGCTCTCAGAAGAGGATCCAGGGGAGTAGCAGCAGCTATCTGAAGCATGTTCATCTCATGCTGGAGGATAGGATCACCAGAGGCCATGCAGGAATATTTAACGCCTCTGCTTGGATGTGGCATTCACTGAGTCACTCACATTCCATTAGCTGAAGCAAGTCACATGGCTAAGCCCAATGTCAGTGGGGTGGGGAAGTACACCACTTCCATTGAAAGGAGGGAAAACAGATGTTTGCTGAACAATAATACAATACTATGATCTATCACAATACTATGATCTACCATTATACTATGATCTACCATTAACATTTCTTGAATGCCTAATAGCTCTCAGGAAGTGTTCCAAGAATCATGGATTCTAGAGATGAATCACATAGCAGCTCTGCTGTCTGCTCTCAAGGGTGCCCTCACTACAGAGTGTGGTCACTGCAATGACAAAGGTGGCCCCAGGACAACTTAACCTCTCCTGAACTATTTTAATTCTCACAATTTCCTTGTAACCCCAGTATCACTATCCCTATTTTATAGACAAATAAACTGGGACTCAGAGAGGTTCAGTAATTTTCTTTTGCCCCCATGGCTAGAAAATGGCTAAGCCTAGTACCAAATCCCTGTGTGATTGTTCCAGGGTTCTGTTCTTTGCATGACAACTCTGGACTCAAGTATGTAGGCAGAGACATTAGAATTGAGACAGAGACTGACCAAAACTCTCATATCTTGGCAGGAGCCCAAGTCTGCATATGTATGAACCTCATCCATATATATGCAAGCTGTGGCTGAGACATCTGTAACCTAGACTTTCATAGCTGGGCTACTAACTTCAATCATCTGAAGGAAGATTCAAGTTATAAACTGCCACCAATTCAGTGAATTATCCATAAACTTGTTTCTATATTGCCCTATGATGCTCAGTTCAAGCCCAAGTCAAATGCTCCCTCCTGAAAACTTCTCTGATTCCCTAGCCACCAGTTTCTGCCTGTGTTGCCTGTCCACAGCACCAAACACTTAAGACACTTTCTCCATGATCCTATAATTTTTTTTTATTTTTTTGAAACAGGGTCTCACTCTGTCACCCCGGCTAGAGTGCAGTGGTGCACGTGATCCTACAACCTTGATGTATATATTTTAGGCAATCACTGCTCACAGGAAGCCCATATTCTCCTATTCCACCTCCACAGTCCCCAGAGTTCCAGCCCAGTGCTTGGCATTCAGCAGGGGCTAGATGAAAGTGTGTGGAATGAGTGAATGAACGACGGATGGATAGAGGCTGCTGGGTCCTTAGGAAAGAGAGCAGATGAGATTTATTTTTTATTTTTGTCCATATCTCCTCTTTGGTCCTTTGGAGGGATTTTAGTCAGGATGGGTCTGGTGCAACCAGGTGATCCAAGGGTTATAGGCACAGAGGGAAGTAACTGGAGCTCCCTTTTGGTACCACAGTAAACACTGGTGGTGGAATGCCATTGTCTTATCTTCTGAGAAGTAGCAGGAGGCTTCCATATTCTTGTGTTTCGTCAACTGGCTCTAATCATTAAGCTAAATACTCAGCTTATGCAATGCACTTAGCCCAGCTGGTTTAGAAGTGGCACCTTCCCAATCAGTCTAGAGCATTTGGGTGGTCACTGTATTCCAACATTCACTACAATTAGGGACTGCCAGAAAAGCCTGATTGTCTTCACTGGTTATTTATAACCAAATCATAGTAGCAATCATTATGTAAAAAGAGCTGTTTCTCCACGCCCCCAACTTCTCTGCCTCGCCCACTCCCAATGTCAGTCCTTCCATTTTATTTAATGCTTCTGGCTGCAGTGATTAGATGTAATGAGAGTGATAGGGCTTTGAGGTGGAAAGTGCTAGAGGCAAAGGAGTTTTGTTATTCTCATCCTTAGAGACACAGAATTCAAGAGGTAAAGGGGACTTAGAGATTTCTAGTCCAGCAGTCACATGCTATAGATGGGAAAACTTGAGGATCAAAGTTAGGTAGCTTCATGAAAAGGGCATAAATGTGGAAATCCAAGACTCCAGTTCTAACTGAGGCTTAATCACAGATAATGTGTGTGATCTTGAGCTACTTGCTTAGTGTCTCTGGGTCTGAGTTTTCCTTTCTAGAAGATGGGGAAACTAATACGTATTCTGGAGTGATTAGAGATAAGGTGTAGAAGTAGCCAGGTGTATGGCAGCTGGTACAATGGATTCCATAGTAAAGGAGTTGATGGCAGCATCACTGCATCACTGCTCTCTTCCCATCACTCCACATTGCCTTCAACTAGCTGAGTGCTCCTGCTGAAGAACCGACTCCTATGTTCCCTGGCTCTCAACATGACTCAGTTTGACTTTTCATAAGTGCAGGTAAGCAAGATAAAATGGGAGTTCTTTTTCCTCTCTACAGACGGAAAATACCAGCAGGAGACCAGCCAAGTAGAGCTGGGGGAAGTCTTGAGACTCACCCTATGGTCTCCATGACCTTTGTCTTAGTTCCTTTGAGCCGCTAAAACAAAATACCTTAGATTGGGTAATTTATAAACAACAGAAGTTTATTTATTTATTATTATTATTTTTTTTTTTGCAGTTTCAGAGGCTGGGAAGTCTAAGATCAAGGCATCTGCAGATTCAGTGTCTTGGTGAGGGCTTGCTCTCTGCTTTAAGATGGTGCCTTCTTGCTATGTCCTCATGTGGTGGAAGGGGTCATTTGTTCATCTTCATTTCTTTTATAAGGTCATTAATCCCATTCAGAAGGGCTCTGTCCAAATGCCTTAATCAGCTCCTAAATGCCCCACCTCTTAAAACTATCACCTTGATTAAGTTTCCACATATGAAATTTGGAGAGACACAGACTTTCAGACCATGGTAGTCCCCATCCTCTGATGTGGACCAGCAGCACACTCACAGTCTTACATAAATGACTCTGCAAGTGCAGCTTTCTGAGCTCCACTCCAATTGTCCCTCTCCCCACCTCCATAGCAGTTTTGGTGAAGCCCTATTTAATTTCATGATCTACAGGTAGATTTGATAGATGGTGTTATGGTACCAGGAGTGGGGAGCAGCCAAAACACAAACCCTAAAATATGTGGCTCTAGGGCCAGATGGCAGTCAGCAAGAGAACCGTTACTGAGGGTTGGAAAGATGGTAATCTATGTTATGCAGTGGTGAAATATTTGGTAAAGCTGTTGTAGGAATAACTTGAAGGGCGGATGATGTGCTGAAGGAACTTGAAGCTTAAGGTGAAAAGATGGGGAAACTGAACGTTAGTAACATCCCTTGGTCACTACTGTAAGAAAGAGATGAGCTCAGAAAAGAATTGGCTAAATTGTAAGCAGGTATAAAAAGAAGTAGAGAGGGTCCAGGACTTCTGGAGTCCCATTTCTCCCAGGAAGGGACCTGCCTCAGTATCCCTGCCAAGCTCAGTTACTGGCTGGGAGCTGCTTGTGGGAATCACTTCCCTCTGACTGTGACTCAGTCATACTCTAAAGTACGACATGACTCTTCCTTGCAGAGATCTGGACATATACAGTGTCCAGTCACACGGACAGATGCAGCTTCTGTGGTCACTCTAGATGATGCTAACTTCCTTATGCTGGCATGCTATCCTCATAATGCAGGCTGCAGTTAACTATTTTAAAAGTTAACATGGTAAGCAGAAGTGATTCCTCTTTGGCTTGAACATGGACTGTTTGGAGGGCACTGGAGAGAACCAAAAGAGTGACAAGTTTTGAGTGCTTGTCATGTAAGAAACAGGAAAGAAAATGCGGCATAATTACCTGTCTCTGGGGAGAGGAGCAGGATTGCTTTTGTTCCTCCAAGTAGGCAGAAACAGAAACACTGGGCAGCTGGTACAGAGAGACGGGTTTTGAGAGGCAGTACTCTCCCAGCAGCACTGTCTAGCCAGCTGTCTGCCCGAGTCTGGGGTTGCTAGTGCCTTCTGCAGGATTACCCTATAGGAGGCATTTCCAGGGTGCTGATGTGGACTCATGCCAGAGGTGACAGTGTCAGCCATCCATGGTGGAAACACAAAAATAAGGACACTTAATGAGCTTGGCCCAAGCTATTACATTTTCATCTCTGAGGTTATATTTCCCACGCCTTTACCGTTGAATGTCCTTTTATCAAAATAGTAGTCATTGTTTAAGTGATATCTCTATGTTAAACCTTACATTTTTTTCTTTTTAATTTTATTGATTTGTGAAATCCTAAAGTCTTGAAACTCCTAAGCTAGCTGACTTTTCAGATCTGGGATCTCTTTTATCTCTAAATGATTATGATTCCTGACTTTTTTTTGATATAAACACTCAACTGCCATTTAGAGTGCTCATGATAGGGAATAGATGCTGCATTTGTTCATGTTGAAATACTGAGGCTCAAGTACCTGTCAGAAGGAGTTTATTATATTTTCTAGGCTCTCTGAAATTACATCAGAAAAATGTGAATTAGAATATAACCCATAAATAATATCTGGCCACATGCAAAGTAATTGAAGATCAATTGAAATAGCTATTGGATTAAGAAATAGAGACTGAGGTAAATTTACAGGGTCAGGGAGGATCTAAGGAGGAAGCATTGACACTGGAGCCCAGGGACCTGGGATTACAGAACAGATTCTACCAGTGCTAACTTACTGCTCCAGAGAAAATATCAATTCTGCTCATCCGCAGGTACTATTCATCAAGAAAGGGATTACAAGTTCACAAATGTGTTCAAAATGTACCCATACTTCGATATATTAATGAAGTAATCACATTCTACACATAACTACTCCATATGGAATACTGGGGTGGGGGTGTTCCAAATAAAGAGACTGAGGATTTCTCATGAGAACTCAGTGTCTGCTAGAAAATATCTAAGTAAAATATTTTACTTATGTGGAAGGTGTGGATGTTTGTGCATCACAAGTTTCAAGAATCCCTAAAATGTACAATGGAGATGAGGAGAAAATATCAGAATTTCCCAGCACCAGAAATGAGGCAAGAAAAAATTCAGAGGAGTTGTAAATGTGAAAAGCCAATGGCTGGTCACGCAGCAACATTGATAACCTTGTGCCAGGACAACTAGAATAAATACATAAACATACAGATTGAAAGTATTTCCAATATTAGATCTCCCTCATGTGAGAACTAAATTATAAAGATTGAAGCATATAAGAAAATAAGCTACCAGAATTTAGGCTACCAGAATAAATTCGATTACACATAAATTTCTGATATTGAAATTCTCACAAATGTTTAAGTTGGTAGTGGAAGACAAAGGACATATAATCTTGGGAGTCCTAGGGCCCTGCCCGCTGCCAGTTCCTCCATGCTACTACAGCTGATGCTTTCTGGAAAGCAACACCTCCTGGCAGGAGGCCAACCAGCACAAATATAGAGCATTAAACCACTAAAGCTAAGGACCCTCACAGAGTCTATTGCACCCTTCACCACCTCCACTGGAACAGGCGCTGGTATCCATGGCTGAGAGACCCATAGATGGTTCACATCACAGGGCTCTATGCAGACAACCCCTAGTACCAGCCCAAAGCCAGGTAGACCTGCTGGGTGGCTAGACCCAGAGGAGAGACAACAATCAATGCACTTTGGCTCACAGGAAGCCATGCCCATAGGAAAAGTGGGAGAGTACTACATCAAGGGAACACTCCGTGCGACAAAAGAGTCTGAACAACAGTCTTCAGCCCTAGAACTTTCCTCTGACAGAGTCTACCTAAATGAGAAGGAACCAGGAGACCAACCCTGGTAATCTGACAAAACAAGACTCTTCAACAACCCCCAAATAATCACACCAGTTCATCACCAATGGATCCAAACAAAGAAGGAATCACTGATTTATCTGAAAAAGAATTCAGGTTAGTTATTAAGCTAATCAGGGAGGGGCCAGAGAAAGGTGAAGCCCAATGCAAGAAAATCCAAAAAATGATACAATAAGCAAAGGGAGAAACAGTCAAGGAAATAGCTTAAATAAATAATAATAATAATAATAAAAAATCAGGAAACTTTGGACGCATTTTTAGAAATGTGAAATTCTCTGGAAAGTCTCAGCAATAGAATTGAACAAGTAGAAGAAAGAAATTCAGAATTCGAAGACAAGGTCTTTGATTTAACCCAATCCAATAAAGACAAAGAAAAAAGAACAAGAAAATATGAGCAAAGCCTCCAAGGAGTCTGGCATTCTGTTAAACGATGAAACCTAAGATTAATTGGTGTACCTGAGGAAGAAGTGAATTCTAAAAGCCAGGAAAATGTATTTGGGGGAATAATCAAGGAAAACTTCCGTGGCCTTGTGAGAGACCTAGACATCCAAATACAAGAAGCACAAATAACACCTGGGAAATTCATCACAAAAAGATCTTAGCCTAGGCACATTGTCATTAGGTTATCCAAAGTTAAGACAAAGGAAATAATCTTAAGGGCTGTGAGACAGAAGCACTAGGTAACCTATAAAGGAAAACCTATCAAACTAACAGCAGATTTTGCAGCAGAAACCTTACAAGCTAGATGGAATTGGGGCACTTTCTTCAGCCTCCTCAAACAAAACAATTATCAGCCAAGAATTTTGTATCCAGCAAAACTAAACATCATATATGAAGGAAAGATACAGTCATATTCAGACAAACAAATGCTGACAGAATTTGCCATTACCAAACCAGCACTGTAAGAACTGCTAAAAGGAGCTCTAAATCATGAAACAAATTCTGGAAACACATCAAAACAGAACTTCACTAAAGCATAAATCACACAAGAGCTATAAAACAAAAATACAAGTTAAAAAGCAAAAACAAAAAAAAAAACAAAGTATAGAGGCAACAAAGAGCATGATGAAAGCAATGGTACCTCACTTTTTAATACTAATGTTGGTTGTAAATGGCTTAAATGCTCCACTTACAAGATACAGAACCACAGAATGGATAAGAACTCACCAACTAACTATCTGCTGCCTTCAGGAGACTCACCTAACACATAATGACTTACATAAACTTAAGGAAAGTGGTAGAAACAGGCATTTCATGCAAATGGACACCAAAAGCGAGCAGCAGTAGCTATTCTCATATGAGACAAAACAAACTTTAAAGCAACAGTAGCTAAAAGAGACAAAGACAGACAGTATATAATGGTAAAGGTCTCATCCAACAGAAAAATATGACAATCCTAAACATACATGAACCTAACACTGGAGCTCCCAAATTTATAAAACCATTACTAGTAGACATAAGAAATGAGATAGACAGCAACACAATAATAGTGGGGGACTTCAATACTCCACTGACAGCACTAGACAGGTCATCAAGACAGAAAGTCAACAAAGAAACTCTGGATTTAAACTATACTTTGGAACTAATGGACTTAACAGATATACACAGAACATTTCATCAACAATCACAGAATACACATTCTATTCCACAGCACATGGAATTTTCTCCAAGATAGACCATATGATAGGCCATAAAACGAGTCTCAATAAATTTAAGAAAATTGAAATTGTATCACGCACTCTCTCAGATCACAGTGGAATAAAACTGAAAATCAACTCCAAAAGGAATCTTCAAAACCATGCAAATACATGGAAATTAAATAACCTGCTCCTGAATGAGCATTGGGTGAAAAATGAAATCAAGATGGAAATGTAAAAAATTTCTTCGAACTGGATGACACAACCTACCCAGACCTCTGGGAGACAGCAAAGGCAGTGCGAAGAGGAAAGTTTGTAGCCCTAAACACCTATGTCAAAAAGTCTGAAAGAGCACAAACAGACAATCTAAGTTCACATCTCAGGGAACTAGAGAAGCAGGAACAAGCCAAACCCAATCCCAGCAAACAAAGGAAATAACCAAGATCAGAGCAGAACTAAATGAAATTGACACAACAACAACAACAACAAATACAAAACATAAATAAAACAAAAAGTTGGTTATTTGAAAAGATAAATAAAACTGATAGACCATTAGCAAGATTAACCAAGAAAAGAAGAGAGAAAATCCAAATAACCTCACTAAGAAATGAAACAGGGGATATTACAACTGACACTACTGAAATATTAAAGATTATTCAAGGGTACTATGAACACCTTTTGGCACATAAACTAGAAAACCTAGGAGAGTTGGATAAATTCCTGGAAAAATACAACCCTCCTAGCTTAATCAGGAAGAAGTAGATACCTCAAGCAGACCAATAAAGCAAGCAGCAAGATCGAAATTGTAATTTTAAAATTACCAACAAAAAAAACCGAGGACCAGACAGATTCACAGCAGAATTCTACCAGACATTCAAAGAATGTCTTCTTTCATTCAAAGAAGAAATGACACCAATCCTTTCACACTATTCCACAAGACAGAGAAACAAGAAAGCCTCCCTGATTCATTCTATGAAGCCAGCATCACCCTAATACCAAAACCATGAAAGGACATAACCAAAAAAGAAAACTACAGACCAATATCCTTGATGATCACAGATGCCAAAATCCTTAACGAAATACTATCTAACTGAATCCAACAACATATCAAAAAGATAATCCACCATGATCAAGTGGGTTTCATACCAGTGATACAGGAATGGTTTAACATATGCAAGTCAATAAATGTGATATACCAAATAAACAGAATTAAAAAAAACTCAAATGATTATATCAACAGATGCAGAAAAAGCATTCGACAAACTCTAGCATTGCTTTATGATTAAAGCTCTCAGCAAAATAGGCATACAAGGGACATACCTTAATGTAATAAAACCCGTCTATGACAAACCCACAGCCAACATAATACTGAATGGGGAAAAGGTGAAAGCATTCTCTCTGAGAACTAGAACAAGATGAGGAGCCTACTCTCACCAGTCCTCTTCAACATAGTACTGGAAGTGCTTGCCAGAACAATCAGACAAAAGAAGGAAACAGAGGAAATCCAAATCGGTAAAAAGGAAGTCAAACTATCACTGGTTGCCGACGATAAGATCTTTCACCTTGAAAACCCTATGGACTCCTCTAGAAAGCTTCTAGAACTGATAAAAGAATTCAGCCAAGTTTCCAGATACAAGATTAATGTACACAAATCAGTAGCTCTTCTATACATCAGCAGCTACCAAGCAGAGAATCACATCAAGAACTCAACCCCTTTTACAATAGCTGCAAAAAAAAAAAAAAAAAAAAAAAAAAAAAAAAAAAACTTAGGAATATACCTAGCAAAGGAATCAAAAGACCTCTACGATGAAAATTACAAAACACTGCTGAAAGAAATCATAGTTGGAGCCAAGCATGTTGGCACATGCCTATAATCCCAGCTACTCGGGAAGCTGAGGCAGGAGAATCGCTTGAACCTGGGAGGCAGAAGTTGTAGTGAGCCGAGATCACACCATTGCACTCCCACCTCAGCGACAAGAGCGAAACTCCCTCTGAAGAAAAAAAAAAAAAAGAAAGAAAGAAAATAAATCATAGATGACACAAACAGATGGAAACGCATCCCCATGCTCGTGGATGGGTAGAACCAATATTGTGAAAATTACCATTCTGTTAAAGGCAATCTACAAATTCAATGCAATCCCCATCTGAATACCACCATCATTCTTCACAGAATTACAAAAACAATTCTAAAATTAATATGGAACCAAAAGAGAGCCATGTAGCCCAACCAAGGCTAAGCAAAAAGAACAAACCTAGAGGCATCACAGTACTTGATTTCAAACTGTACAATAAGGCCATAGTTACCAAAACAGCATGGTACTGGTTTAAAAATACGCACATAGACTAATGTAACAGAAGAGAGAACCCATAAATTAACCCAAATACTTACAGCCAACTGATCTTCGACAAAGTAAGCAAAAAATAAAGTGGGGAAAGGACACCCTTTTCAACACATGATGTTGGGATAATTGGCGAGCCACATGTAGGGGAATAAAACTGGATTCTCATCTCTCACCTTATACAAAAATCTACTCAAGATGGATTAAAAACTTAAACCTAATTCCTGAACTATAAAAATTCTAGAAGATAACACTGGATAAACTCTTCTAGACATTGGCATAGGCAAGGATTTCATGACCAAGAACCCAAATGCAAATGCAATAAAAACAAAGATAAATAGCTGGGACTTAATTAAACTAAAGAGCTTTTGCATGGCAAAGGGAACAGTCAGTAGAGTAAATAGCCAACAGAGTGGGACCCCTGACCCTGACCCCTAACCTTAACCCTAATCCCTAACCCTAACCCCTAACCACAACTCTCACCCTCCCCCTAACCCAACCCTAACCCCTAATCCCTAACCCCCAACCTCTCTTAACCCCTAACTCTAAATGTTGACTCCTAACCCCTAACTCTGACCCCAACCCCTATCTCCAACCCCTAACCCTAAACTTAACCCCTAACACCAACCTTAACCCTAGGTTCGTTACTACGTTTGTATTGACTATGTCAATGTTGATTATTATGATCGCTGTCTTAGGACTGCACGGCAGCGAGGGGATTGTGGATCTTATATTAATGTTTTTGTGTCGAGGCAGTGCATTAGCACTACAGGTGCTTGTTACATGAGCAAGGGGGGTGTCATATTTTGAGTGTCATGTCTGCATTAGGAATGCTGCATTTGTCTTCCGAGGCTGCGGTGTGGCTCTCGCACTGCGGCCGCCTCACCTTGGCTGGGGAGAACCTCGGTGGGCAGGATTCAGAGGGGCTTTTGGTTTCCCGTTTTCCACACTGAACCCTTCTAACTGGTCTCTGACCCTGATTATTCAGGGCTGCAAACAGGAAGGATTTTATTCACCGTCGATGCGGCCCCGAGTTGTCCCAAAGCGAGGCAGTGCCCCCAAGGTCCGTGCTGAGGAGAACGCTGCTCTGCCTTCGCGTTGTCCCCCTGGTCTGTGCTGAGCAGAACGCAGCTCCGCCCTCGCGGTGCCCCTGGCCCGCCCGGGTCTGTGCCAAGGAGAACACTGCTCCGCCTTCGCTGTATCTCCCAAGTCTGTGCACAGGAGAACTCAGCTCCGCCCTCGCGATGCTCTCCGAGTCTGTGCTGAGCACAACGCAGCTCCGCCCTCGCAAAGGCACAGCGCGGGCGCAGGCGCGGGGCGGTGCACAGCGCGGGCGCAGGCGCCGAGAGGCGCACGGGAGACCTCAGGCCCAGACTCCACTCCCCAGCTGTGAAAGGGTAAGAATTGAGGGTGGCTGAGGCTCGGGGTTGTTCAGGGCGGGGTGGGCTCTGGACCCAGCAGGCCCGGCACCCAGGTCAGGGATCCAGGGGAGGCCAGGTGGGGCGAAGGCCAAGAAGGGGCCGGGGCTGGTCAGGAAGGGCTCCTGGTGACCAGAGCGCTTTGCGTGAGCCAGCGTGGGAGGAAGGTGGGCTGGATGAGCCAGGGAGGCGCCGGGAGGGGCCTTGGCAGAGGCGACCCCCTCCGTCAGCCCCCAGGCCACTGAACCCTGGGTAGCAAGAACCGGCAGGGGAGGCTGCAGACGGAGGAGTGGAGGCTCCTTGGCTTTGGGGGCTCTGAGTAGAAGCATCTAGGGGGTCCCTCAAGAGGCCCCCAAATGCTGCCCCATGGTGAGAAGACAGGGAGAGGCCCTGCAGGGACCCCCCCCGGGTTACAAAGGGCTGCCACTGTGAGAAGGCAACGCTGCTGGCAGGGGCTGGGCTTTCTACCTCACCAAGCCTCTTCCCACCCAAAGAGCCCAGAGAGGGGCAGCTGCCCCCCCAGCGGGCACAGCACCTCCTCCCTGTGTGATGGGGTGGGGCCCACAGTCTCCTTTCTCGCGGCCTGCCTGGGCTGACCCTGGGTCCCAGCTCGGCCATGGGGCTTCGGCATGTAAAGCCCTTGGGGGGCAGAGCCTCCCACCCCCGCCAGCTTCTGGCTCTCTGTGTCGCCCCCAGCACTGGACTGGTGCCTTGGAGGGAGGCTCCGCTCTCCTCCACATCAACCCGCTGAGGAGTTCTGTCTTCCCAGGGTTGTGAGAGAAATCAGCTCTGCAGGCCTATGTCCAAGTCTAGGCGCCGCCTCCTCCAGGGAGCCTTCCAGACCTGATCTGTGTGGCAGAGGCCCAGAAGGACCTGGGTGTGGGGATCCTAGAGGGAGGCGGGGGACCCAGCGTGAGGAGAGAGGGTCCCAGTGCTTCCTCCTGCGTGAGGGTCACCCATCTGACTCCGGCTGCACAGAGCCACTCCCTCTAAGCGCTCCTGCTCTCTGCCTTCCTGCATTAGCTTTTGCCTGTACCCGGCCCAGCAAACCCCTGCTCATCTTTCAGACCCAAGTTCAAGGCCTCCTCCCACTCCGGGTGGCTCATCACCTGGCCTCCCCAGGCAGAGAGGCTAGGCTCCTGCTCACTGGGGCGTCTCCCTTGCCCACTGGCGCGGGACTACAAGGAAAGGGGTTGACCCCCACCCTCCCCCGCCACGCCCAGGAGGATGCAGACACAACTGGGAAGGTGCTAGAGGCCCCGGGGGGAGGCTGGGCCAGCACCAGGCATTGGGGGGCAGGTTCCCGTCTCTATACCCCAGCCCCAGGCGGACAGCACGTGCCCCTCCCGCTGCCCCACCTGTCACCCACCTGCTGGCCCCGGGCTGTCTCTGCTCCTGGCTCCCCTCCCAGCTGCGTCCCCAGCTGCCTCTCCAGGGAGGAGTGACAGCTGGCCTGTGCCACACCCTCGAGCCCCCCCCCCCCGGACTACCCCCTCCCTGGGGCAGGACCCCTGCCTGTGGCACAACCAAGGGGCCTGCTGATGGGGGCTCATGTGAGCAGTGCCCCAGCTGTGGGTGTGGGTGCTGCCAGCTGCCACCGCCTTTGCCCTGGTTTCCCAGATAGACCCCGACCCACACTCCGAAGCTGTATCATGAACGCTGTGGTGGGCGGCTGGTGGGGAGCGGGGTTGCCGTCCCACTACCCTCTGGAAACCTCAGCCATGAAGGGCCCCTGTGGGCACCTTTTCCCGGCACACGGTGCTGTGTCTCTCCACTCTTGGGCTCTGCAGTGACTTGAGGGGTCAAGTCTATGATCCCACGGGAGGCTGGGCTAATGAGGGGACCAGAGACCTCAGTGCTGTGCAGGGAGTCCCGAACCACCCTGGTGGAAGGCCCTGCCCAACTCCCCAGTCCTCCCGCCAGCTCCCTGTGGTGTCCAGGAGACCTGTGGTCAGGCCTGGAGGAGAAGCTCCTCCTCCCCTCGACATCCTCCCTGCAGCCCTTGCTCTTCACCAGAGCCTCCTGACTCCCCAGGACCCCAGAGAGGACCGACCCTCTCCAGCCGACCTCTGGGCTCAGGACAGCTGGGTGGGGCAGCCACAGGAGCTGCCTGTAGGGAGCAGAGTCAGGACGGGGACCGAGCCGGACACCCATTCTGGAAGTGTCTGCACTTCCAGGCAGGGGAAGGACGGCAGTGGGTAGCTGGGAGTGCTGGGCCGAAGATGGGCATTGTCAGGCCCTCAGTGGGGACTGGGAGGTAGAGGTGGGGAGGTCTGTGGAGGAAGGAGAAGAAGGGCCAGTGTCCCGAGTCGGGGGTGGTTGGCAGTGGACGAGGCCGACAGGAACAGACCTGAGCTTGGGGAGCTCCACTCAGAACGAGGCATCCTTCAGGGTTCTGTGCATACTGGTGTCCCTGGCTGGGGGCCAGGCCCCGAAGTGGAGCCTGGGACTGTGAGGGTGGGGGTGTGTGCTGGGATGGGAGGTGGATGGAGCCCCCCCGTAACCGCCTGGCCGCTTGGGCTGAACCTTGGACTTCGGAGCCAGAACAGACATAGGAAATGGCCTAATTGCATTTGCGCAGGAACACCAAATCCCTCGCAGCTGCACGGGGCTGAGCCGGGGCCACAGGCAGGGTCGGCCATCCCAGAGTCCTGACAGCTCCGTGGTGCATGCCAAGGGGCCTGGGCCGCTGGCCGGGGGGCGCCTTTCCCAGGCCAGAGGCCCCCACCCCACCCCAGGAGAGCTGCCCCCCTTTCAGTTCCCAGAACGGAGCCCAGCTGTGGAATAGTGATGCGGTGAGGTCATGGGGAGGGGGCCCGCATGACTCATATCCTGGGGGAGGGGAAAGGGAGGAGACGGAGAAGGGGCCCAGAGGCCTCCACGTTCTCAGCTCTGCTGGGTCAGAGGCCAGGGGCTGGCGGGGCTTCTCCCCAGCACTGGGTTTTAGGGGAGACACCAGGAGATGCTTACTCTGCATCCCCACTCTGTCCCCCAGGCCCCTAGCCAGGGAGAGCTCAGTCAGAGTGATCCTCCAGGGGCCCAGCTCTGCATGGATGATGTTCCCAGAGTACACACCTGGGCCTCGTGCCAGGGCCGGCACCGCCGTTGTCGGGGCCATGGCAAGGCAAACAGTCAATGTTTGCCTCACTAAAGTGAGGCTGCAGCACCCTGAAGGGATCCCTGGAGGGGGACGTGGTCCCCTTGTTCCCAAGCCTGTCTGCACATGCACGTGGATGTCAAGGGTTCCCGTGTGTGAGCACGTGCATATTTGTATGAGCATGGGGTGCAGGCATGTGTGCCTGTGTGGCCGGAGCGTGGGCTCGTGGAGAATGTGTGTGAGTTGGGTGTGCACCTGCATGTGCCCCAGGCCTAGGGAGTCCCGCGCCCGGCCACACTCCATGTGTTGGGCATGAGCTGTGAGCAGAGTGAGGGCCTTTATGGGGCTGTTGGGGCCCGGACTCGTTGCCCTTAGGGGTGGACCTAAGGAAACGTGTGCACACGGGCTTCTGGGGTCTCTGTGCCAATGTGTGCTTCCAAGCCACGCCCCCCCTATGGCTTGGTGGAGGGGGTCTGTGGAGCTGGAGTGAGGGCCCTGGACCCATTGGAAGCCCAGGTCCAAGGAGGAGCTTGGGCTCCATCTCATGCCCCAGGCCCAAGGACACACACCCCAGCTGAGACCTTGCTCACATGGAGGGGCTGGGACATGGGAACATGGGGAGCAACATGGCCAGGCTTCTCCTCCGTGGAACCCCTCCACCTCCTCAATACTCTGCCCCAGCTCTGCGCCGCCCTCCATTTGGAGGGGCTGGATCGTGAGTGGGAGCGTGAGTGAGCATGAGGGCCCCTGCACCCCAGGCTCTGCCTCCCCATGTGGAACGAGGCCCAGCAGCCCCCAGCCACGCGGCTACTACTGCATTCAATCAGTGCCCCTCCATCTAACAAATACTCCCTCATATAATCAGTACTCCTCCATCCAATCAATATTCCTTCATCAACACCTTTCTATACAACCAATAGTCCTCCATCTAATCAATGCTCCTCCATCCAACCAATACTCTGCAATTTAACCACTGTCCCTCCATCCATTCAATGTCCCTCCATCCATCCCATGGTCCCCCAGCCCTACCCCATGAGCAGCATGGAGGCAGACCCACATCTGTCTTGTGCGCCATCATCTCCCTGATGCTCTTCAGGAAAGGGAGGTGTCTCACAATTGCATTGAATGGAGGAAGGCACATCTTTCCAGTGATCCCCACTCTAGGGCTGCATTGGGAAATCGCTCCCAGGGAAAACACAAACACAAAGCAGAGGGTTGCCCAGTGTGACCCTCTGATGTGACCACGGTGGCTGTCCACTAAGGTAATCCTGATGCTTTTCCTCCTCTGCAGACTGCTGGCCAGACCCCCAAGCTAGCCCGCCAGGCCTCCATAGAGCTGCCCAGCATGGCTGCGTCCAGTACCAAGAGTTGGTGGGAGACGGGTGAGGTACAGGCTCAGTCTGCGGCCAAGACTCCGTCCTGCAAGGTAAGGTCCCCTCCAGGGGCAAGGCTGGGCTGCAGAGCCAGCACCGGGGAGTTTAGTAGCAGGCCAGGTTTCCTTGTTAAGACAAGCGTGGGACTGTCCAGGATGAATGTGGGCAGACAGAACCCTGAGGTATTGCAGTAGGGTTGGGTTCACCCTTGCTGGTGTAGAAGGCTGTGTTGTCCGAGTGGAGGTGGATGGCACCTTTATTCCTTTCCCTGCTTCTTCCACTGGGATCGCACAGAAAAAGTTTTGGTAGGCAGATCCCAGGCCCCCTGGCCAGGTAAGGCAAGGCAGGAGAGAAGGGCCCAGGGCTTCTACTCCCCAAGATCCAGGGGTCTGCCCTTGTGACATACCCTTCTGCTGCCCCCAGGATATTGTGGCTGGAGACATGAGCAAGAAAAGCCTCTGGGAGCAGAAGGGAGGCTCCAAGACCTCATCAACAATTAAGGTAGAGCCTAAATGTGGTTGGTGCAGGCAGGAAATATTAACTCATTTCATTGTCACACGAAACCAGAAGACATAAAACAGTTAAAATAGGCCAGGCACAGTGGCTCACACCTGTAATCCCAGCACTTTGGGAGGCCGAGGCGGGTGGATCACGAGGTCAGGAGGAGACCATCCTGGCCAACGTGGTGAAACTCGGTCTATACTAAAAATACAAAAAAAAAAAAAAAATTAGCCGAGCGTAGGGGCACATGCCTGTAATTCCAGCTACTTGGGAGGCTGAGGCAGGAGAATCACTTGAACCAGCAAGTTGGAAGTTGCAGTGAGCCGAGCTCACACCCTGCACTCCAGCCTGGCGACAGAGGGAGACTCAGTCTCAAAAAACAAACACACAAGCAAATAAAAAAAACAAAACAACTTGACACACTTAGAAAATGAAGGTTTGTGCTATTAGTTTTCTTTTATTTTAGAAAAACAAAGCATTGTTTAAATATTTCTTACAAGTACAAATATAATTTAAATTTAATAAATGTTCAAAAATATCTGTAATTGAGTTTCATTCAGCAGACATATGTCTAATAGAGAACTTGCTAAGTAAGATATAAAGGATGATTACATGAAAAAATCACAAAATTGTCAGTAAGAGTCTTAAAAGTCAGTGATAGGACAGTAGTTAAAAGATATCAAATAGTTATTTATTCTTAAACATTAAACAGGATATTAATAGTTTTAATAATCTTGAAGTTTGACAACACTGTAAAAACATTACAGACCACTTTTATTTATGAAAATACGTGCAAATAGCAAACACCAGTTGGGCTTAAGGCTGCTACTTACTTACCCAGTAAGTGACAAAGCTGGAATTCAAACCAGGTTTGAGCTATACCACTACTACCCTTGAAAAGGTTTCATTACACTCAGCTTTCCTTAATTTCTTAAACTCTTTTTTTTTTTTTTTTTTTTGATTGAGACAGAATCTTGCTCTATTGCCCAGGCGGGAGTGCAGTGACATGATCGTGGCTCACTGCAACCTCTGCCTCCCAGATTCAAGCAATTCTCATGCCTCAGCCTCCCAAGTAGCTGTGATTACCCGTGTGCATCACCACACCTGGCTAATTTTTGTGCTTTTAGCAGAGGTGGTGTTTTGCCATGTCAGCGAGGCTGATCTTGAACTCCTGACCTCAGGTGATCCGATCCACCCGCCTCGGCCTCCCAAAATGCTGATATTACTGGTGTGAGCCACCACGCCTGGCCAATTTCTTAAACTTTTGATTATACTAAATATGGTCCTTCTGCGTGATAACACTGTTTTTCCTTTTATAAAATTAATCTCTTAAAATACTTTAAAATTCAAAGTACACTTTTTAGATTCTTTAAAATACTCTTTGCCATGTTCATGGCCTTTAGATGTGTGATCATAGCCTATTTGCTTTTCATTGACTTAGTTTCATATTTCTTTGCCTTTTTCCCCCTACTTTTCCTTATAGAACTATTTACTAGTAATGAAATCATTTTAAAGAATACACTTTTTATTCCACCTGCTAACTGTTAAGAGAATGTTTTATAATCACTCTGGTCATGGTCTGTAAGTTTCTTTTCTAAACTATCTTTTCAGGATACATATTTACTAACTTGCTTTCAAATGAATATGGTCATGTCTATGCAGCAAGTTTCTTTTCTTTCTTCTTTTCTTCTTCTCTTTTTTCTTTTTCTTTTCTTTCTTTTTTAAGGCAAGATTTCGCTCTGTAGCCCAGGTTGAAGTGCAGTTGTACAAACATGACTCACTGTAGCCTCAACCTCTCTGGCTCAAGTGATCTGCCCACTTCAGCCTCCCAACCAAGTAGCTGGGACTGCAGGTGTGCACCACCCTGCTCCGCTAAGTTATTTAGTTTTTTGTAGACATGGATTCTCAGTGTGTTGCCCAGGCTAGTCTTGAACTCCTGGACTCAAGCCATCTTCCTGCCTTGACCTCCCAAAGTGATAAGATTACAGGCTTGAGACATTATGCCCAACCTCTTTTTCTTTTTCTTTCTTTCTTTTTTTTTTTTTTTTTTTTTTTTTGAGACAGTCTTGCTCTTGTTGCCCAGGCTGGAGTGCAGTAGTGGCATGATCTTGGCTCACCGCAACCTCCACTTCCCGGGTTCATGCGATTCTCCTGCCTCAGCCTCCCGAGTAGCTGGGATTACAGGCATGCACCACCACACCCAGCTGATTTTGTATTTTTTAGTAGAGACAGGGTTTCTCCATGTTGGTCAGCCTGGTCTTGAACTCCCGACCTCAGGTGATCTGCCCGCCTTGGCCTCCCAAAGTGCTGGGATTACAGGTGTGAGCCACCATTCCTGGCCCTCTTTTTCTTTTTAACTGAGCTTATTTATCTCTTCCCCAGCTTGAGTCTGGGTCCTACTGTCTTGGTCAGAGTATTTTACTATATTGACCTGGACAATTCTGCCATCATGAACCATATTCCAAACCTAAATATGTAAGAACATAGAAAGATTATTTTAGCAGGAGAATTTTAACACACACACACACTTTATTCTGAAAATTTAGCAACAAAATGAAAGGTGAGTTGTGGTAGTTGATGTATCAACAAATAGAAAGAAGAAAGCCTGTAATCTGTTTCAGAATGCTATTTCTGGGGCTGGTAACATCAAAAATAATCAAATTAAGTGTTAACTTGCTGACTCGTAAGATTTTCTCTAATTTAGAATTGGAGAACATATATACTCCTATTACCACTTTCCATCTTTCTCAAATATAGTTTTTATAGTTTTCTGTTGGCTTCATCATCGTATTGAAAGATTATTAATCACTTACATATATGTAGTTTTCTGTTAAGTCCTGTTCAGTATATTACAAAATTTTGATCTGTGTATGTAATATCAATTAATAAGATGGTGTTAGTTAAATCAGATTACGTGTTCATTCATTAAGTCATTGTTAACACTTCACAGAATATAAATCGTGTTCCATGAGTATGAATTTCTCTCTGAATTCCACATAATTGTCTTAAAATTATGCACCATTTATCGTTAAGAGTGAAAGATTATGTGTCATTTATTGTAGTGGTAGAAGAAAATAAAACCAAAACAGAATCCAATCCAAAAGCTTAGGTTTTTGTTGCTACTACAGTAATTACATCTTCATATACTAAGGACAGCACATTATTACTGTCCAAGAATGGTGCCTCGGACAACTGGTTGCTTACACTGTTTTCAGAGATGAAATAGGAACATAAGCAGGAAGATTTTTGTCTAAATATGAAGCAAGAAAGGCTTAAATGTCTTTATTCAGGGGATTAGGCATCATAAGTTTTTTTTTTTTAGAGAAATTGTTTTCATGATATTTCCTATCTCCTTTTGTCACTTTGCTTTTGTCGGTAAATTTTACAACTAAATGAGGATTACCAGGCATAAAAAGCAGCAGACAATCATGATGCAAACTGAAAATAATCAATCAAAACTGACCCAGAACTTAAATAGATGTTAAAATTAGCAGAGGAGGACATTAAAACTGTTTTTATACATGTATCTCATATAATCAAAACATTAAATAGAGACATGGGAGATAAACAAGAAAAGCCAAAATCAAACTTTCAAAGACAAAAACATTTGAGATGAAAATTACATTGGATGAACTAAAGCAGATTAGAAACTGCAGAAGAAAAGATTAGCAAACTTGAAGATACAAGAACAGACACTAGCTAAAGTACAAAAAGAAAAAAAAATCTTAAAAAGTGATTTTTAAAAAGCATCAGTGAGCAGTCAGGCAACTTCAAATGGCCTAATAATATGCAGGTAACTGGAGTTCCCAAAGGAGAAAAAAAAGAAAGAGAAAAAAATACTTGAAGAAACAACTGCTGAAAATGTTCTAGCCATAAGAAGACCTATTAACTCACGGATCCAAGAAACTCAGCAAACCCCAAGCACAAGAAACATGAAGAAAATTACACTAAGGGATAACATAATCAAATTGTTCAAAATCAAGGAAACATTATTAATAGCAGGTGTATAAAAAGACATGTTACCTATAGAAGAACAAAGATAAGAACAACATCAGATTTCTTTTGAGAAACAATGCAAGTGAGAAGACAGCGGTACATCTCTAAAGTTCTAGAAGAAAAAAGGCCAACTAGAATTCTATGCCTGGCAAAAATATCTTTCAAAAATGAAGGTGAAATAAAGACACACCAGAAACATAAATAATGAAATAATTCATCACCAGGAGACCTTCACTGCAAGAAATGTTAAAGGATATTCTTCAGAAACAAAATGATGTCAGATGAAAATCTGGATCAATACTAAGGAATAAAGAGCACCAAAGTGGTAACTATATGAGCAAACATCTTTTAAATTTTTTATTATTTAAATCTCTAAGAGATACATGTTTAATAAAAAAACAGCAAAATATTACAGAGTTTATGACATATGTAAAAGTCAAATGCATGGCAGCAATAGCACAAAGTGCAGGAGGGAGGAAAAGAAAGTAAATGAAGGAATGCTTTTATTATAGATGAAGTGTACAATATTACTTGAAGGTAGACCTCTCTAAATGTGCACTATAATCTTAAAGGAACCACAAAAATAATTTTTAAAAATAGGTAAAAGTAATAAAAGGAGGCAAACTGGAATCATAATAAATAATATAAGCTGGGCACGGTGGCTCACGCCTGTAATCCCAGCACTTTGGGAGGCCGAGGTAAGCGGATCACAAGGTCAGGAGATCGAGACCATCTTGGCCAACATGGTGAAACCCCGTCTCTACTAAAAATACAAAAATTAGCTGGGTGTGGTGGTGCACACCTGTAATCCCAGCTACTCAGGAGACTGAGGCAGGAGAATCGCTTGAACCCAGGAGGCGGAGACTCTAGTGAGCCGAGATAGCGCCACTGCACTCCAGCCTGGCAACAGAGCGAGACTCTCTCTCAAAAAAAAAATAAATAAAGTAAAAGAATGCAAGAAGACCAGGTGCAATGGCTCACACCTGTAATCCCAGCACTCTGGGTGGCCAAGGCAGGAGACTCACTTGAGCTCAGGAGTATGAGACCAGCCTGGACAACATAGTGAGACCCCATATATAAAAAAATAAAGTAGCCGGGTATGGTGGTGCACAACTGTGGTCTCCACTATTGGGAGGCTGAGGTACATCACTTGAGCCTAGCAGGTCAAGGCTGCAGTAAGGTATGATCACACCACTGCACTCTAGCTTGGGTGACAGAGCAAGACCCCATCTTGGCAGGTGGGGGATGCAAGAAAAATGCAAGGAACAGATAGAGATAAATAGAAAACATATAAGAAGACAATCATATTAAATGTACATGGTCTAAATACCCCCAATTAAAAAGCAGAGGTTTTAGACCATATACATTTAATGTGATTGTCTTCTTACATGTTTTTATCAGAGAAATAAAACTATCGCCTTCAAGAAACACAAGTTAAATACAAAGATGCAAACAGGTTAAAATAAAAGAATGGAATAATATATACCATGCTTACGCTAGTCAAGAGAAAGCTAGAGTAGAAATACTAATATCAGGCAAAGCATATTTCAGAGTTAAACACAACATTTTTCCACTATTTGCAGTCAAAAGTATCGTTAACACTCTTTTTACTCTGCTCAAAGTTACAGAGTTCTTTTGTATAAACATTAGAACACTTATCACAGCCTGCCTATAATGGAGAATAATTCCATGTTGTATACTATACAACACTCTTACTAAAGTCCATTAGACAGAAATATGTAGCATTTGAGACACCTTCCAATTATAAAACTCTATGCAAACAAAAATTAACAACGCAGATCTGAGACTATTATATTATCCTGTGAAGGAGGGTCTGTCTGTCTGCACAGTTGGTCCTAGGCTGGCTTCTGAGGACTTGAATTTCAAGAGGGTTCCCTAACTGGTAATCATGGTTTACTGTATCTAGACTATGGAAATAATGTGGCTTATCCTGCTATTCTTTTTGTGAGTCTGGAAATTTCACACATGCTAGGCAGAGTACACATATGTGACCAGCCAAGATAAAAACTGTGTTTCTTGGGAAGTCACATAGGTTGTTGTATTTTCATTAAGGGGGAAAGAAGGTAGTCTGTGTGATCCTCATGGAAGGCACAGCACATAAGGAAGCCGGTACATGGATTTTTCCAGACTCTGTCAGTGTCTTTTGCCATTGAGATCTTTCTACTATATATCCATACTATGTTACAGTAATAAATCTTAGCCATTACAACCCTAAGCTGATCCCATGAGTCCTTCTAGCAAATCTCCAAACATGGAGGCAGTCTTGTGGATCCCTGACACAAATATAGTGTTGTGATCTCTTAAGGTTTATCCTTCCTCTTAAACTATAAAGAGCTGGCTGGGCACAGTGGCTCACGCTTGTAATGCCAGCACTTTGGGAGGCCGAGGCGGGTGGATCACGAGGTCAAAAGATTGAGACCATCCTAGCCAACATGGCGAAACCCCGTCTCTACTAAAACTACAAAAATTAGCTGGGCGTGGTGGCACACATCTGTAGTCCCAGCTACTCGGGAGGCTGAGGCAGGAGAGTCGCTTGAACCAGGGAGGCAGAGGTTGCAGTAAGCCGAGATCGCACCACTGCACTCCAGCCTGGTGACAGAGGGAAACTTCATCTCAAAAAAAAGAAAAAAACTATAAAGGGCTGGGTGCAGTGGCTCACGCCTATAATACTAGCACCTTGGCAGGCCCAGGTGGGAGAATTGCTTGGGCCCAGGAATTGAGACCAACCTGGACAACAGAGCAAGACCCTGTCTCTTAAAAAAAAAAAAAAAAAAAGTTGGCCGGGTGTGATGGATCACGCCTGTAGTCCCAACACTTTGGGAGGCCGAGGTGGGCAAATCACAAGGTCAAGAGTTCGAGACCAGCCAGGCCAACATGGTGAAACCCCATCTCTATCAAAAAAAGTACAAAAAATTCACTGGGCATGGTGGTGGGCACCTGTAATCCCAGCTACTTGGAAGGTTGAGGCAGGAGAATCACTTGAACCCAGGAGGCAGAGGTTGCAGTGAGCTGAGATCACGCCACTGCATTCCAGCCCGGTGACAGTGTGAGACTCCATCTCAAAAAAATAAAAAAGAAAAGAAAAGAAAAGTTAGCCAGGTATGGTGGCATGCATTTGTGATCCCAGCTACTCTAGAGGCTGAGACAGGAGGACTGCTTGAGCCTAAGAAGTCAAGGTTGCAGTAAGCCATGATCATGCTACTGCATTCCAGCTTAAACAACTGAGATGCTATCTCTTAAAAACAGAAGTAGAAGCAAACAACTATAGGGGAAAATGAGGGATACATACTTTAAGAATTTTTAAAAATTTACATGGAAAAACACCAGGATTCTATAGAAAATAAAACAGTATTAAATAACATTATTTATAAAATAGATACTAGCAAATTACCTTACGTAAAGATTCAAGTCAGTAACTTAAAGGATCTTACATAAAAGTGCTTTCCGTTGGTTGGAGGAGAGATTTTTACTATACACTGTTTTTCAATTTTTTTAGACAAATTACATTTAAAAGTTTAAATTTGCTTATCTACATTCTTAATGTGAATTGCCACCTTACTATAGGAAGGCTATTTTTGTTCCTGCAGTCTACAAAAAGAACAAAAATATTAAAAACGTACAACTCTTCTCACAGAACTAAGTTGGTTTTATACAAAGACATCTGGCACAAAATACAATGATATTTCAATATAGAATCACAGCAGGGGATGAGGGTGGAGAAGGAAGAGATTACCAGTTCTAAGAGGGGAGACAACAGAAGTATTTTTTTAATGTCTTATTTTAAGAGTAAAACACCTGCTTTTTTTTTGAGATGGAGTTTTAGGCGGGAGTGCAGTGGAACGATCTCGGCTCACTGCAATCTCTGCCTCCAGGATTCAAGTGATTCTCCTGCCTCAGCCTCTTGAGTAGCTGGGATTACAGGCACACGTCACCACGCCAAGCTAATTTTTGTATTTTTACTAGAGAGGGGGTTTCACCACATTGGCCAGGCTGGTTTCAAACTCCTGACCTCAGCGTCAGCCTCCCAAAGTGCTAGGATTACAGGCGTGAGCCACCATGCCCAGCCAACACTGAACATTTTGTTCAGAACTAGTTAAGAAAACAGAAATATACGTTGGGGGTTTATGGATTACTTATTTTTGGGGTGCAATACTGGGAATAGAAGAGAAAGGAGCTTCCTTTCCCTCTCCTTCTTTCATTCATTCATTCATTTTGAGAAGAAGTCCTGCTCTGTTGCCCAGGATGGAGTGCAGTGGTGAAAACTCAGCTCACTGCAACCTCCACCTCCTGGGTTCAAGCAATTCTCCTGCCTCAGCCTCCCAAGTAGCTGAGATTACAGGCACGCACCACCACACACGGTTAATTTTTATATTTTTTTAGTAGAGACAGGGTTTTGCCATTTTGGCTAGGCTGGTCTCCAACTCCTGACCTCAGGTGATCCACCCGCCTCAGCCTCCCAAAGTGCTGGGATTACAGGCATGAGCCACCGCACCTGGCCAAGAAAGGAGCTTTAGATAAATAAAATGATTAAACATTTGTAGCATGTAGAATGAAACTATTCCCTTAGTAATACTCAAATTATCCAGATTTCCAAGATGTTGGTAGCACCCCGAGAGCTTCAAAAGGGAAATTAAAAGAAAAACGACGTTACCCTTCCTGAAACACAGATTCACTGTTTGCCATATTCTTTTCTCTAGTAAAAGATGAATAAAGTTTCCTCTGGAAAAACTAAAAACAATCTGAGGTATATTTCAGAGAAAACAAAATTGCTTGATAAAAATGCCATGTTAACAACTGAGGAAATTATTTTACATATATTAATTTTAACACAGGAATAATATGTCAAACCAGGATTTCTCAACCTCAGCACTATCGACATTTTAAGCTGTATAGTTTTTGGTGTGGGAGGCTGTCCTGTATATTGTAGAATGTTTAGTGGCAGCCCTGGCCTCTACCCAAGAGGCCAGTAGGACCCACCTCCTCATTCAAGCTAATGCACTAAATTTTTCCCTTCATTGACAAATCCCATTAATGCATGTATTTATCCCATTAGTGACTCTCTTGTGTTCCAGGTACTTTGTTAGGCACCAGAGAAAATATGATAAAGCAAAACAGCTATTTTCCTCACTCTCATGGTGCTTACAGCCATGGTGGGAAAAATCCATAGGAAAAGACTCACATACACAAATGCAGGCAGAATAAAAAAACTCACACAAACAAATGTTGCAGATGTTGTTAAGTTACATAAAGGAGATATGCATGGCTGTGCATGGTGGCTCGTGCCTGTAATCTTAGCACTTGGGGAGGCCAAGGCAGGTGGATCACTTGAGGCCAGGAGCTCAAGACCAGCCTGGCCAACATGGCGAAACCCTGTCTCTACTAAAAATACAAAAATTAGCCAGGCATGGTGGTCCATGCCTATGATCTCAGCTACTTGGGAGACTGAGGTGGGAGGATCACTTGGGCCCAGGAGGCAGAGGGTACAGTGAACTGAGATTGCGCCACTGCAATCTCAGCCTAGGAGACAGAGAGAGACGTCTCCTGTTCTCCTGGAGAACAACAAGTCATGATGTCAGACAAGAACTTGGATTTTGGAGACACGGGTTTGAATTTCAGTCATTCATTCTTTTATTCAGTAAATATCTAGCAAGTACTGACATGTCCCAGATGTTGTTTTACTCACTGGTTATACGATGGGAGGGAGACAGAGAAAGAGAGAGAGAGAGAGAGAGAGAGAGAGAGACGCTATTCTAAAAGCTTGAAGTCTAGGCTGTGCAGAGTGGCTCATGCCTATAATCGCAGCACTCTGGGAGGCTGAGATGGGTGGATCATGAGGTCAGGAGATTGAGATCATCCCGGCTAACACAGTGAAACTCCCTCTCTACAAAAATACAAAAAATTAGCTGAGCATGGTGGCAGGTGCCTATAGTCCCAGCTACTTGGGAGGCTGAGGCAGGAGAATGGCGTGAACCCAGGAAGCGGAGCTTGCAGTGAGCCAAGATCACACCACCGCACTCCAGGCTGGGCGACAGAGCCAGACTCCGTCTCAAAAAAAAAAAAAAAAAAATGCATAAAGTCTAGATAGACTTTAACCCAGGAATAATCCAAGGAAATGAACAATTACAAATGTGACAAGGGCTGTGAAGGGAAAGTTCACAGCCTTGTCGAAGTGTACAGTAGTTGGGGAGGTTGGCCAAGGCAAGATGTTTAGGAAAGGCTTTCCTGGGGAAATTTCTCTTTGGGTTGAATCACAGTTAAGTAGGCAAAGGGGAAGACAGAGGGAAGGGAAGTATGGCAGGCAGGAAGAATAGGCACTTAATAGCTTTGGGATATTGGGCAGGTCGCTTGATCTTTCTGAGCTTCAGTTTTCTCATCTGGGAAATGAGTTAATAATAGTCGTTTAGAAAGTGTGATGAGGCCAGCCAGGTGTGATGGCTCAGGCCTGTAATCCCAGCACTTTGGGAGGCCGAGGCAGGTAGATCATGAAGTCAGGAGATTGAGACCATCCTCGCCAACATGGTGAAACTCTGTCTCTACTAAAAATACAAAAATTACCCAGGCATGGTGGCGTGTGGGAGGCAGAGGTTGCAGTGAGCCAAGATGGCACCACTGCACTCCAGCCTGGGTGACAGAGCAAGACTCCACCTCAGAAAAAAAAAACAAAAGGAAGAAACTGTGATGAGATCAAAACAATTAATGCATGAGTGTTCTGAACCTCGTTTCTCCCTCTGCTGTATCTATGCAGTTTCTTGACCTGGGCTGTGCTCCAAAGAGGATTCTAGCTTGGCTTTTGTGATAGAGAATGGATACATTATTAGACCTGAAAAGCCAGAGCAGGGAGGAATGGTCCCAAAAGGAAGAAACTGTGCTTGTCTTCACAATAAAGAGCAGAGAAGTGGGGAGAGGTATTGAAAGCTGTGGGTGGAGTTTTGCAGGTAAGATTGTGTGAAAGAGGTGAGGGAACTACAATCTGGGGGAATGTGGATAGGAGAGTAAAAGGGAATTCTAGAGAACAATCCCTACTGACTTCACACAACTTAAGAAATGCAAGTAAAGGGCCGGGCGCGGTGGCCCACACCTGTAATCCCAGTACTTTGGGAGGCAGAGGCAGGTGGATCACTTGAAGTCAGGAGTTCAAGAAGAGCCTGGCCAACATGGTGAAACCCCATCTGGGTTAGTCAGGCATGGTGGCATGTGTCTGTAATCCCAGCTACAGAAAGATAGAGAGGTGGCTGAGGCAGGAGAATTACTCAAACCCAGGAGTTGGAGGTTGCAGTGAGCCGAGATCACACCACTGCACTCCAGTCTGCTGGACAACAGAGCAAGACTCAGGGGGTGGGGTGGGGGAAGGAAAGAAGGAAGGAAGGAAGGAAGAAAGGAAGGAAGGAAGGAAAATAGAAATAGAAATGCAAGTAAAGAATTTCAGTTTGAAAATTGCCTTTTGTCTACTGAACATGAGACTGCTTGGAAACTGGGCAACGTGGATTTTTATAAGTTGTACAAAGCACTTAGCAATTTTCAAACCTCTCCATCCTGCAGAGCCAGCTCAATCACTTCTCCAGAAAGACTTACTGAGTCCTCTGCACTGAACAGGTGTCCTATGCTCCAGGAGAGCCCTGGGCTGGCTCCTAGTGCAGCCGTTATGACCCTGGAATGCACCATCTTTCACATCACTGCCTGGCCTTCTAGAATCTCAGCTTCTTAAATCAAGAAATTGTGTCTTGTTCATGTCTGAATTCCCCAAGTGAACACAGTGAGTGGGTGCTTGACAAATCTTTGTTGGTAATGAGCAAAAAAGGGGATTCTGTGCCCAATACCATGAAATCAATGCACAGAAGATTCAGTCAATCAAGAAAGGTGCACAGACACTGGCCACACACACTGACATTTGTTTGCAGATGTTCCAGTCCCCCTGACTTCCACCAATCCATTCATTCATTCCACAAGCATTTTTGCTGGGGTGGAAGCAGGGCCATACAGGGTGTGTACATCACAGATAGGGTGGGTTTGTATAATGAGTATAAAAAACTTCTAGCAGAAGATGACAAAGTATATCAAGAAAGGGCTCTCTTCGAAATCACACCACTGCACTCCAGCCTGGGTAACAGAGGGAGATTCCATCTAAAAAAAAAAAAAAAAAAAAACAGGGATGGGGGCAAGGGAGCTCTTTTCTTCCAGTTAGCACAAGATTGCCATTTCAGCTAGGGATTCTGCTGCAACTATCTCCCAGACCCTATTCTAGGGCCAGGGGATAGAAACAGAATCAAAAACATATTCATTGTCTTTTTTGGGCTTATATTATTGAGGAGAGAGAAATAAACAATTTCAAAATAAACAGTGTCATACAGCGCTAAGTGCTGTAAATAAAATCAAACAGAATAACGAAAGAGAAAGTAGCTAGACTGGAGGGAAAAGCTGCTTCAGAATGAGTTGTCAAGGAAGCCTCTTTGCAATCAGAAAGGTGAGAAGGATTTAGTCAGGCAAATATCAGGAGTAAATTATTCTTGGAGGAAAGTAAGCCCATGCAAAGGCCCTGGGGCAGAGTGGGCTTATTTGATAAAGAGGTAAAAGGGTCAGGATATCTGTAGCAATAGTGGCCAAGGGAGGGAGAGGTATGAGACAGAGGAGGTGAGCCCTGTTGCCATGGTGAGGGCATGAGGATTTATTCTAAGTTCCAGATACCTGGAGTTAAAGTCCCCTGAACTGGACAACAACTACAAGCCTTCATATCTCAATGCTACCATCTTTAAGCCCCCGTTATAAGAGCTCAGAGGCTTCAGAGATGACAGGAAACACCAGAACGCTATGGTGGAGCATATCTAGGTGTCTTCTCCCAACTCAGATCCTTTGACTGTAGAAAGACACAGATTTCAAGGCTGAGATCCACAAAACTCTAGCAAATACTGCACAGACACTGACCAATGACAGCAGGTGCTGCCTGTCACCCTGGAGCACCAGGCAGGGTTCCAAAGCACCCTTGCTGTGCCAGCCTCTGATTGCTGGTTATAGGGAGGTCTGGGGTAGTCCCAAAAGCTGGGATGTGCAAGGCAGCTGGGGTCAGTCAGGAGGCTCAGGGCAGTGGCAGGAAAATATTTTCCTCCCTGGTAGAGCCACAGCGGGGTATCCAGGCTGAATATTATTGGCGAGAAGGACCATGGCACAGCACCAAGACCTGCAGGACAAACTTTGTTGGAGCTGAATCCAGAAAAACAATCTTCTTCTAAACCACTCTCCTGCCCCTCATTTAATTATTGTGCTTTTGGGTGCACTTGGACTACTCTGAAACATTCAGAACTCTGTCAAAAAAAAAAAAAAAAGACCTCTCTCCTCAGCACCTCTCCCACTTGGGCATCAGTCTTGGCTTCCTCTCTACTTGCTTTCACTTGCTCCTTGTGGCAGAGATTGCCCTCAGCAGATCCCTTCCCTTAGGTTCCTTGCTGTCAAGTGGAGGCTAGGGAGCGAGATTATGGCCAATAGAATGTGGGCAGAACCACAGATCTGAGCCTGAGGAACATCCCACAGGACCCTGAGCTCTTCCTCCAGCTGCTGCAGTGGCCTTGGAAGCCATGTCTGTTCTAGAAGTGTAGCTACAGATGGAGAAGGCCCATGTGCCAGCTAGTCTCCAAAGATGGCGTATTAGGCCATTCTTGCGTTGCTATAAAGAAATATCTGAGATAAGTTAATTTATAAAGAAAAGATTTGTATTGGCTCATTGTTCTGCGGGCTTCACAAGAAGCATGGTGCTGGCATCTGCTTGGCTTCTAAGGCGGCCTAGGAAGCTTACAATCATGAGCAGGCACATCACGTGGCCAAAGCAGGAACAAGCAAGAGAGAGTCAGTGGGTGTGGGGAGGGACATGCCACACACTTTTAAATAACCAGATCTCACAAGAACTCACTATCTCAAAGACAGCAGCAAGCCATGAGGGATCTACCCCCATGGTCAAAACAACTCCCACCATGCCCCAACTCCAGCACTGGAGACTGCAATTTAACTTGAAATCTGGGTGGAGATAAATATCCAAATTATATCAGAGGGCCTTCCCTCGAACCAAACCTCCTGGTTTCCAGGTCCCCTTTCTTGCTGCTTCTGGGCTGGCCTCCTGGGAAGCCAAGACTGCAGTGGCTCTGATGCTGCATGGGGGCTGAGGCTCAGCCATGAGGAGGCTCGTAGCTGCCACTTTGGTCTTTTGGAATCTTTGCTCATGAGAGTCTCCCCGTTGGGCCGCAGCCACCATGCTGAGAAATGAGGGTCATGTGGAGAGGCCACATGGAGGTTTTCTGGTCTAGAGCACAACTGAGCTCCCAGAAAACAGCCAGCATCAATGGCTGGGCATGTAAGCCAGCTGGCATGGACATTCCAGACCAGTCTGTCCTTTTGTCACCTTAGCTACAGGGAAGGCCCATGACCCCAGAAGTGCCCATCATTATGCTGAATTCCCGAGCCTCAGTGGTCCACCGAGGTGTGGAAGCATGTCTCACAAGGGTCAGATGGAGTTCTGGCCTGGATTGATGTGTAGATGCTTGAGGGAGAAGCTGGGTTTCTTTCAGCTGGGGTGGCTCTGCTGGGATGTGGTGGGCCTTGGGTTTCCAGGTGGTCATTTTCCTTATTTGCAGTAGAAGGAATGAGGCCCATATAGAGAATAGAGCAAATTAAAGGGAGAGAAAGAGAAAAAAGTAAGGAGAGAGGAAGAAAGAGAAAAAGAAGGAAAAGAAGAACGGAGGGAAGGAGGAGAGGAAAGAAAAAGAGAAGGAAAATGAGAAGGAGGAGAGGAAGAGGAGAGAGAGAGAGAGAGAAAATAACTTACTTGAACCTCAAAATTCAGGCATACCATGGTCTTTGCAGTTATAAAAATCAATAAGTCACCCTTTAGCTGAAACATGTCTAAGTGGAGTTTCAGTTGTTACAACTGACAAAGCCCTGCCTAGCACAAGGAATAAACAATGTTCAGCAGTGGCATGAGAACAAGGGACAGCCTGTTTGGTGGGCAGCACGGCAAATGGCTGTCTGGAAAATATGATGCTTGGGCTGGAGGGCAAAGTGGAATTCACCAGCATGCAGGGTGGAAGTACAACCCTAGCAGACGGAACAGCACTGGCAAAGGTTCAGAGGCAAGAAGCTTTACATGTGAAAGGATACATTTTTAGAACACTAAACATTCTCCCTGTTATCCAAAACACTGAGTTTCTCTTCATTTTTTGGCCAGGTGTGGTGGCTCACGCCTTTAATCCCAGCACTTTAGGGGCTGAGGTGGGTAGATCACCTGAGGTCAGGAGCTCAAACCAGCCTGACCAACATGGCAAAACCCCATCTCTACTAAAAATACAAAAATTAGCTGGGTGAGGTGGCAGACACCTGTAATCCCAGCTACTCGGGAGGCTGAGGGAGAAGAATAACTTGAACCAGGAGGCAGAGGTTACAGTGAGCTGAGATTGTGCCACTGCACTCCAGCCTGGGAGATGAGACAGAGCAAGACTATCTAAAAAAAAAAAAAGACTGAGTTTCTCATCATTTTTTGAAATTGAGAGTTTTCTCTGTATCGATAAGACCTTATAATGCAAAATATAATATAATATGCGGCTAGGTCTCCACAGCCTTCAGTCTTTCCCAGGGAGGGTTCCATGAGCTGCTTGTCTGGTGGGGATGGTGGTTTTGAGCAAGTAGTTGGTGTCCTGTCTTACCCAGGCTCTTTCCCACAAAGAGTTGGGCAGAATTAAAAACTACTGGAAACCAAGATCTCTCTCTGATGTTGACTTGTCAGACCTCAGCCTCATCAGCACAGGCTCTAATCAGCTAAGCAGCTAATAAACTCCTGCCTCATTTCATCCAGCCAGAGCCCTGATCTCAGGGGATGATAGTGAGGAAATGATCCTTTCACATGCCTGGCTCCTGCAAAATTGTGCTAAGAGGATTTTCCTCAAACAGTTTAGCACAGAGCAAGGTTTCCTGATCCAGTTAGCAAATATTCTTCTGTTTGAACTCACTGACCCTCCTTTTTCTGAAGATGTATTTTAAATTGGATTTGCTTCACTGACACAAATGGAAAACTTGATAAGAAAATCGGTGGGATTTTACTGCACCCACTGCTGATATCAAGACTGAACTCTGTATTACAGCAACAAAAGCTCTGTTCTGTGGCTACAGGATACACGCTGAGCTCCCAGCCACCAGCCCTGCCAATGTGCTCAGCTTGGCACAGGGCAGGGAGCAGGGTAGAGGGGAGGGGATGGGGAGGGGCAGGTGGAAAAGCTCAGGTGATGAGCCAGCCACATCACCTCAAGCACAGAACCCCTGATGGTGGCCCTAGATCCTCCTCTTGAAATCCAAAGCTCAGTCCCTCTCCCCAGTTCAGGAGCAAGGAGGTTTCTGGCAGGTTAAAATGGCTAACTCAGGAGCTTGCCACCTTTGAAAGGCAGCACTGTGTAGACAGAGGCAGAAGGATGGGCTTAGGAGACAGTCCTGGCTTCAAATCCTTCTCTGACTTACCAGCTCTGGAACCTTAAGCAAGTGACGTAACCTCTCTAAGCCTCAGTTGCCTCATCTTTAAAATGGCATCCCTAATCCTTACTATGAAGAGATATCATGGGTAAATGAGATGCTGTACTTACGAAAGGGCAAGTCCCTGTATTGGTCAAGTGTTTTTACAGCATTGCTGCATAACACACAGCCCCAGGGGCTCAGCAGCTCAAAACAAGTGTTTATTTCTTGCTAATAATTTGCAGTGAGCTGGGAAGCCTTGCCTCGGACTGGGGGCCAGGCTCTGTTTGCTTCTGTGTGTCTCATTCACAGGCCGGTGGTTCCCTGGAGCTTGCTCTTCTCATTGTGCAGGGGTGGGGTCAGTGCTGCCACCCAACACCACATTCAGTTAGAGCCTCCAGTCAGACCAGGCATGCACTAACTCTGCTCATGCATCTCTAGCCAAAGCTGGTCATGTGCACAGCAAGAAATCTGCTCTGTCCTGTCCACAGGGAAGTCGCAGGAATGTGAGAAGGCCAGGAAGGATTGTGAGCCAATAATACATCTTGACAATCCACAATAGATGGAAGCTATTATTGATTCATTATCTCAAAATGGCTCCACCAGCCAACCCCTTCTATCCATCTCCAGTGCCACCTCCTAATTCAGGTCCTCGACGCTTTTTGCTTGCATGGCTGCCAGAGCCTTTGGGCAGGTCTCTCTGTGTTGATGTGTTCACCCCCACTCCTATCTCCTCCATCCAACGCTCTACCACCAAGGCAATCCTCCTAAAACACAACCACAGTGTTCTTCACACTCCCTATGATTCCCTGCAACCCACATTATTAATCATTAATCCAATTAATAAAAATTAATGTACTAATCCCCAGCTCCTCAGTGTGGCCCTTCACAATCTGCTTGTCCAGCCTCGTCTCTTGCCTCCCCAGCTTTCCCCAGCAGACCCCTCTCCCACCCATTCCAATGCCATCCTCTTCTCCCAGCCTAGTTCTTTCAGGCCCTGTGCCTTTGCACTTGCCCCTGCCTGAAATGTCCTTCCCACTTCTTCTTGAAGGGGGTGAGTGCCAACTCACCTTTCCAACCCCACACCAATGCACACCAGGATCTCCCCAAGACTCCAGGGTAGTAGTCACCATCTGTATTTCTGCAGCACACTGCACCTGCCTCTAGCACAGCTCGACAGCCCACTGAAGTGAATGATCTGTTCGATCAGTGCCGACTTGCCTTTCTTTCCCAGCTGCAAACCACCCAAGGTGAAGTCATCTTAGCCTCTTGGAGTCAGCCTGACTGGGGTGAACCCATTGATATGTATTGCATAAATGAACATATGACAGTAGTGATGAAGGATCTCCAGCTATCCGTGTACTCTCTATGCTTCCCAGACTCTTTGGCAGTTGCACTGGGTACTGGCTGAGTTCTGGAAAACAGGAATGTGAGCAGAGTGCTGCAGATCTCCTTGTCAGGAGCACCTAAGAACTGGCATGACTCTACACCCTCTCTCCTTCTGCAATGACCTCGTGTCAAGATGGCAGACCTGCAGAGATGAATGTGCCTGGATACCTGAGTCACCAGGTGGAGGAAACTCCCATTGACATGCATCACACTCCACATATGAAACCCTTCTTTTTCTGCACTGTCACTGGGGTTAGGGATTATTACTCACTGCAACTTAGCCTAGCATTAAGTTGCTTGACTAATACAAGTTTCAATAAATGTCGCTTCATTTCCCATGGCTTCTGACTGAATGCTGTGCAATATCCACAAACCATCCAGATTGTGGTTTATAAATACCACCCTTCACTAAAAGGACTCAGAGCTCCTTGTAGAAATGGCTGATGCTAAGGCTGGGGTAGGGAAGTACAAGGTGAGCCCAGAGTGCTGTGTGGTGCCAGAAAGCAAGGAAGCATTTAAAAAATGACAGGGACATGTCAAAGGACACATCAATCAACTTCAAGGGGCTTCCACTGGCCAAATCTGGGATGATGTGAGCATCCAAATTAATAATGATAATGGTAGATTATAGTCTATTGAATAAAATGAGAACCTATAACTATAGAAAGAAAGAAAAGGGAAGGAAGAAAAGAAAGAAGAAGAGAGGGAGGGAGGGACGGAGGGAGGGAAGAAGGAAGAAGACTTTCTTACGGTAGAATGCCAATGAATAAATACAGAGGGAATAATAGAAAACTCCATTTGCAAACATGATCATAATAGTTTATTCAAGGAAGAATCATCACTGAGTGAAAATTTAAGAAGGTAAAGTATGTTTTCATTGTCTCATAGCACTTCCACTCATATGGTTTATTAATTGCAAAGAGAAAAAGTGGTAACTTAACAGTAGAGAAACCCAGCAGGTCCTCCCTTAATGAGCTGAACAAAGTTAACAACACCAGGAATAGGACAAATGGGTGCCAAGTGTCTCTTGATGTGATACACTGAGAACACAGCATTGCTTCTGTAGCATTCCGGTCCCTGGAGGAAACATCAGACAAACACAGATGGAGGGACCTTCAAGGACTGACCTGAACTGTTCTTCGGTGTCAACCCCATGATAGACAAAAAGAGGCAGAGGAACTGTTCCAGATTAAGGGAGACTAAAAAGGTATGACAGCTGGATCAGGGGAAACGTGCCTTAAAGGGCATTATTGGGACTGTTGGCGAAATTTTAAGTGAACTGTATATTAGACAATTATCAAGGACTACACGATTGTATGGCATCAACCTCAAATTCCCCGAACTTGAGCACTAGAGTCTTCTTGTTCTGATGGAATATGTTCTGAAATGTTTAAGGGAGAGGAGAAGGATGCCTGCAACTGAATTTCAAATGGTTCAGGGAAAGATAATAGAGTAGAATAGACTATATAGATGGAGAAAGTAAATGTGGCAAATAACAATTGGTGAAGGTGGGTGAAGGGCATGAAAGTTCTTTGCCTTACAATTAATTCTTCTATAAGTCTGAAATTATTTGAAAATAAGAGAAATGCTTTCAGCTGTGAATAACAGAAAGCCTGACTACTTGTGGCTTTTGCAATAAAGACATTTAGTTATGTAACATAACAGGATTTAAGAGGAAGAAGGCAAGGACTTGAAAAGGCTCAGTGATGTAGCTGAGGCCCCAGATTCCTTTTATCATTTTGTCCAAAGGCTCCACCTTCCTGAATATTACTGCTTTATACCCTTGGAGCTTCATGATCACAGGATGGCTGTTATAGCTCCAGCCGTCATGACCAAGTTCAGACTCCAGGAACAAGATGGAGGAAGCTATGTCAAAGGGGGCTTTTCTTGATGTGTCTCTCGCCTTTAACCAGTGAAGAAAATCTTCTTAGAAGGACACAGCAGACTTCTCCTTATGTCTCATTATCCAGAAGTGGACCACAGGACAGTCCCTACTGTAAACTCTTTCAAGTATCAGGCAAAAAGGAACAAAAGGCCCCAGCCTGGCTTAAACCAACCTTGAGTCATCAACTGACACTGGACACTTTGTTTATCCAAGCAAAATCAGGATTTTCTGTTAGCAAGCAAAGGAACTGCTCATGGATAAGAAATTAACAGTGTGTGCCATAATTCATATTTGCCGCCAAGCATCTTCTCAGGCTGACACTGTGCCAAACAAGGGATTATAGAGATGAAGATGCAGCTTCCATCCCTGAAAGCTCACAGTCCATTCTCTCAGGGCAATCCCGGTAACCTCCTCATCACAATCATCCATCCAGATCATGGAAGTCCCTTTACTCCCCAAATAAGAAGGAGTAGCAGGAAAAAGTGACCTCATCAAGCTGACTCGAGTTTTTCCAAAAGCAAATAAATAAATAAATAAATAACTTTTTAACCTGCACAGCCAAATATCAAATAAATACATGTATGTTTTTTGGGGGGGTTGGGGGGTGTTTTTTTTTTCTGAGCTTCCTGTGGTATTGAAACTATCTCCCACTTCCTCCTTTTTGTCTCAAAAGATCTTAAGCATTGGGCCAGATACAGTGGCTCCTGCCTGTAATCCCAGTACTTTGGGAGGCCGAGGTGGGCAGATTGCTTTAGCCCAGGTGTTCGAGACGAGTCTGGGCAACGTAAAAATAGCCCATCTCTAAAAAAATAAAATAAAATAAAATACAAAAATTAGCCAGGCATAGAGGTGGATGCATGTAGTTCCAGCTACCTGGGAGGCTGAGGTGGGAGGATCACTTGAGCCCCAGGGGTTGAGGCTGCAGTGAACCATGATCATCACATCTGGGCAACAGAGCAAGACCCTGTCTCAAAAAAAAAAAATCTAAGCATCCATTCATTTTAGTTCATTTGAGGATAATTATTGACCTCCTCTTCTACCACCACTAGGGATACAGAGGAGGAGCAAACAGACATTATTCCTTCCTCTTGAGGCTCACAGTTAATTGGTAAAGAGGGACCACTATTCAGAAAGTCCCACACATCATTGTATGATCAAAAGCTATGACAGATGCAAGGAAGGAAAGCTGGATGGTGTTGTGAGGCTTCATGGCAGGGACACCAGACCTGGTCTAGAGGTGAGGGAAGACTTCCCTGAGGCACTGGCTTGAATGGAGAGCTGAAGGAGGAATAGGAATTCACTAGAAGAAAGAAGAGGAAGCAGCAAGTGCAAGGCCCTCCTGCAGCAGGAGGGAGCATAGCACATTCAAGGAAAAGAAGCCAGCAGTGTGGATTACAGAGGAAGAGTGCAGCACGAGGGCAGTGGCTTGAGATGAGGCCAGAGAGGAGGGCACGCAGGACCAAGGGGACCAAGGCAAGGATTTTGGTGTCCATCAAATTGGAGAGTGCTGAGCAGGGGAGGGGTAACCGTGTAATTGCCTTTCTCAAATGCCCGTTTTACCATAGCAAGGACAGACTGGTAGAAGCAAGGGATGAACTGGAGAGATGAGTGAGGAAGCTGCTCCAGAAGACCCATCAGGAGATGACGGTGACAGGGAATTGAGTGGTAGCAATGACAATGGGAAGAGATGAGCAGAATCCAGGTATTTGTGGGTAGAAGTGGCAGGTGTGGCTACTTATTGGAGATGGGGCTGTAGGGCTGTGAAGGTGTGAGTCCTTTACTTATCCATCTCAAGGGTCACGGCCAACACTCCTATAACAAAAGACATATTAACAAGAGAAAAACAGAGCAAATTTATTTAATCCAAGTTTTATGTGACATGGGAGGCTTCAGAAATGACAACCCAAAGGCCCAGGGAAAACTGTTAATTTTTATGCTTAGATTAGATGAAGAATGGACAGCCAGATAGAAATGTGATTGGACAAACGGGTATGACCTACTGGGAACAGACTGAAAGGGGACCCAGCAAAACTGTCTGCTCAGATTCTTCTCAGCCTCTCTGTGTAGCCTCCATTCCTCCTGGGTATGGGGCAGGACCCTTTCTGAAATGAGAGTTTTCAAAGGAGAAGGAGAAGATAGAGAGTGACCTTTCTAGGTTTTATGGTTTGCTTTAGCAGGAGGGTTTCTAGGTTCTATGACCCATCTTGAGGAAGATAAATTCTGGTTTCTGTGACTCACTTTGGAGGATGAAGGCAAGCAGAAGAGAGGGTATGAGGAGAAGGTTGGAAAGACCTTGCTTCTGAGTTCCTTCCAATGTCCTTCAGTTCAAAATACTCAGGCTGAGGCACCATGCTTTGGGGTGTCATGTTCTAAGCCCCGACAGCATAAGGGCAGCGTTGAGACAGCCTTTGCAGCCTGGCCTGCATAATGGACAGACGCTAGTGCAATCCATAGGGTTGGAAATGTGGAGGGATAACTGGCGATGCCGGGAGCCTTGAGTTCAGTGTTGGACACATTGAGTGTAAAGTGCCTTTGAGACACCCAAGTAGGCTGTTGGAAATAACCAGCCTGGAGCTGAGAGGTCAGGTTGAAAAGCAGTGTCTGGACGGCAGGTAGGCCCTTGGCCATGAATTAGACCACCAAGGAGAGCAAAGTGAGAAGTCAAGAGGACCTAGTAGGGCCCCTGAAAACTCCAAATGGCCAAGAAGAGGCAAAGAGCTACAAACAATCCTGAGAGGGGGCCGAGGGCAGAGCCACCTGGAGGGAATGTTCATCAAAGTCACACCCTGCCCCTGCATCCGCCCCTCACTCTGCACATGGGAGCTCAAGAAGCCAAGGGGCTTGCTCTGTACCCGGGTCACCCAGCTTCATCCTGGGCAAAATGAGATCACAGTCCCCGACTCTCATTTGCCCTCTTTTCTGCTTTTGTTTTTTGTTTTTTTTTTTTTTCTTTTATGCTCTTTTTAATTTTTTTCTGGGTACACATTAGGTGCATATATATGTGAGGTACATGAGATGTTTTGATACAGACATGCACTGTGAAATAAGCACATCATGGAGAATGAGGTGTCCATCCCTGAAGCATTTATCCTTTCTTTCTTTCTTTTTTTTTTTTTTTTTTTGAGATGGAGTCCAGCTCTGTTACCCAGGCTGGAGTGCAATGGCGTGATCTCTGCTCACTGCAAGCTCCGCCCCCCAGGTTCATGCCATTCTCCTGCCTCAGCCTCTTGAGCAGCTGGGACTACAGGTGCCCGCCACCATGCCAGGCTAATTTTTTTTTGTATTTTTAGTAGAGATGGGGTTTCACAGTGTTCACGGGGATGCTCTCGATCTCCTGACCTCATGATCCGCCCACTTCAGCCTCCCAAAGTGCTGGGATTACAGGCCTGAGCCACTGCACCCGGCACATTTATCCTTTCTAATACCAACGATCTAATTACACTCTTTTAGTTATTTGTAAATGTACAATTAAGTTATTAATGACTACAGTCATCCTGCTGTGTGATCAAACAGTACATCTTATTCATTCTTTCTAACATCATCCCCACCTGCCCTCAGCCCCCCACTCCTCTTCCCAGGCTCTGGTAACCACCTTTCTGCTCTCTAGCTCCATGAGTTGAACTGTTTTGATTTTTAGATCCCACAAATCAGTGAGAACACGCAATGTGTGTCTTTCTGTGCCTGGCTTGTTTCACTTAACATAATGACCTCCCATTCCATCCATACCATTTTCTGCTTTTGTACAAGGCATAAAAAGCAGGGCAATGGGACTCAATGGATTTTCCACGCTGCTCTAACACACTACTGCAAACCTGGCAGCTTCAAACAACACAGATGTATTCTCTCATAGTTCTGGAGGTCACAAATCCAAAACGAGTCTTCCTGGACTAAAACTGAGGTGTTGCCAGGACCCTTGGTAGAAGCCCTAGAGGAGAATCCATTCCTTGCCTCTTTGGTGGCTGCTGGCATTGTGAATTGTGGGCACATCACTCCAATCTCTGCCTCCACGGTCACATCACCTTCTCTTCTGTAGTCGAATCTCCTCTGCCTCCCTCTTCATCTATAAGGACACTTTGTGATGACATTGCGTATCCACACAGATAACCCACAATAGTCTCCCCGTCGCAAATCTTTGAAGTAATCTCATCCACAGAGTCTCTTCTGCCAACATCCCATTCACTAGTTCTGGAGGTTAGGACGTGGACATCTTTGGGAGTTATCATTCCCCCTTTCACAGGCTATCTGGGCTGTATACAGAACCAGAGATCTGAGAATCATCTTGGCGGCCTCACTCTGTGAGCAGAGAAACGTGTCTGTGCTCAGCAGCAATCCCTGGAGGCAGAGACTGGAAATTACATCTGCAACCGTAGTAAGAGCTTGCCAGGGGGCCGGAATGGGTGCCATACCTAGAGCTGTACAGGCATCCACCTCAATTCTCTCAGCGGCCCTTTGAGGTCACTCTCTTACTGCCACCAAGGTGCAGGGTGGTGAAGTTAACTCAGAGCAGAGACCTGGCCTTGAAGCCTCGTCTCCCTGGGGAACAACCAATCAGCAGGAATCTGAACACAAGCACGAGGGGCAATCTGAGCCCTTCCCCAAAGCCTCACTCTTCATTCACTCTGGCTGGAATCCTGCCCTCCCTTCAGGGCCAAGCTTAGGGAACAAGGAGCAACCAGATCCTACCTCCAAGGACAGAGCCCTTACGTATTTCTGCAATCTGTCTGCAGCCGGTGGTCTGAATGAGCATCGTGTCATCACAGCACTTGTAAATTTTGGAGGGGCTCCTCCACACTGAGGGAATATGCTTGTTCAGGGAAGGGCACACTCCCCCATTTCTCCCGGAACCACACTTCTGCCGTGGGACCCTGAGAACACAAGGGCCCTCCCCTTGCCCTGTTGCTTCATGTGGCTTAGTCTTGCTTAACAAACATGCTAGGTGTGGAAGCTGAGGCCTACATGTAGTGTTGAGGGCAAGCAGGGACCGCCTGGAAATGCTGAAAGCATTCTCTTAAAGTGGGGCCTTCCCATCATGATTGCTAGGCCCATGATGAGAAGATATTGCAGGAAAGCACGACCTGGACCATAGAAAGGGCAGATCAATGTGTGGGCCTTTATGTGCTTATCCCTCCCACCACCCTGCTGCAGACCCCACCCGCACTCAAGCTTAGCCCCTGTGGCTTGGAACCCAAGGACGCTTCTGAGCTGAGGCAGACTTCAGGGAGTACTAGTTAGGATAGGTCAGCTGCAAGTAACAAACAAACAAACAAAATACACAGCAAACTCTGGCCCTCAGGGCCAAATTCAGCCCACCATCTATTTTTATAAAGTTTTATTGGAACATAGGTGTACCCATTCATTTACACATTGTCTATGGTTGTTTTTAGGGTTGTAGTGCCAACAGAGATCTCATGGCCCACACAGAGCCTAAAATGTTTTCCATGTGGCCCTTTATGGAAAAAGTTCGCCCACCCCTGGCTTGAACAATGACAACATTGAATTATCTGCCATCACAAGAACTCCAGAGGAAGGTGGCTCCAGGGTCACACGAAGGCTCAGCAAAGTCCTCGAGGCCCCAGGCTCCTGTTCCCTCCTTGGCAGGTTGGCCTTTCTTCTTGGGCTGGTTTCTTCATGGTCACAAGCCGGCTGCCACAGTTCCAGGCTTGACTGCCTCTCAGAAGCACATTCAGGCCAGGAGGAAGGGCAGGCTTCCTCCTCACCTCTTCTTATTTAGGGATCAAAAATCCCTCCAGGGCGGTGCAGCAGAGGTCCCTTACCTCTCAGTGTTTAGACCAGAGGTCAGTAAGCATTTCCTATAAAGGACCAGATAGTGAGTATTTTAGGCTTGTCAGGTCACATATGATCTCTGCAGCATATTCTGTGTGTGTGTGTGTGTGTGTGTGTGTGTGTGTGTGTGTGAGAGAGAGAGAGAGAGAGAGAGATGACCCTTTAAAAATGTACACTCCATTCTTCTCATGAGCCATAGCTTGTCAACGCCTGGTCTGGCACTCTTCACATGCCCTCTCCATGCCCATCTCCAGCAAAGGATAGCGGGCTTACCCTTGCTATCAAAGGTGCTTGGCTTAGACCAATCACCCAAAACTGATGTTTCAGAGATGCCTGCTGGAGGAGTGTAGGCAGATATTACTGATGTCAGAAAAACAGTTTGAGCGCCACTTCCTTCTCTGGCAGGAAGGAGTGATTGGCTGCTGGTCCTGCCCTGTCCGAGGAGGAGGACGGAACCCACCCACCAAGCTGTGGAGAGGTGGACCCCACAAATCCCCTCGCAAGCCACGTCTGAGAGCGAGCAGAGGGAAGAAACTCAAGCGTTTGTAGTCCTCTTTCTTAACAACAAGGCTTAAAGCGCCATCTTGTGTCTTGAAGGCAGAAGGAGGTCAGGATGTGTGTGCTAGAAGCAGGCAGAGGATCTTCACCAATGTCTCAAAAACTAGAGAAGGAAACATGGCGATCCTCAAGGCCCGCGGCGCCCCAGCCCTTCCCGCACCCTGCGATAGTCTGGTGTTGGGAGGGTGGCCCACGTGTCCAAGCAACCACATCAGGGAGGTTCTGGGAGAGGAGAAGGCAAAGCTCCTGCCCTCATGAGGCAGGCAGTCCCATCCAGGACTGGACTGGATGAGCACCAATAAATAAGAAAACACAGCTGGCAGCTGACTGTGAAGGGTCTGGACAGGGTGCCGAAGTGAAGCGTAATGAGCTGGATAGTGAGGACCTCACTACAGAGGGACATCTATCTACACACAGCCTGAAGGGTGAGAAAGATGGATCCTTGCCCTGAGCCAGAAGTGCACACCCCAGAGAGAGCAGCTCCTGCGGAGGTCCTGTGGGGCAGGCATGGTAGGAATATTAAAGAGAAGAAGCCAGGTGTGGCTGCAGCCATGCAGGAGGAAGGGCGATGGGGTTGGGGAGGCAGAGGATGGGATTGGCATGAGAAGATGGAGATGCAGAGCCCAGATCGTGATAGCCCCAATAGTCCACGGGTAGGAGTTTGTATTTTCTACTAAAAGCAATGGGAGGGCGGGGCGCGGTAGCTCATGCCTATAATTCCAGCACTTTGGGAGGCCGAGGCGGGTGGATCACCTGAGGTCAGGAGTTCGAGAACAGCCTGACCAACATGGTGAAACCACATCTTTACTAAAAATACAAAAATTAGACAAGTGTTATGGCGCGCGCCTGTAATCCCAGCTACTCAGGAGGCTGAGGCAGGAGAATCGCTTGAACCCAGGAGGCGGAGGTTGCAGTGAGCTGAGATCATGCCATTGCACTCCAGCCTGGGTGACAAGAGCGAAACTCTGCCTCAAAAAAAGGGAGGGGGGGCAATGGGAAACCATTGAATCGTTTTTAGCAGGTGGTCTGATTTGATTTACATTTTTTAGACATGTAGCTTCACTATCATGGTTATGGTGGTCCGTGCATTACTAACATTGCTAAAACCACCATCATGCCAGAATTACCCTTCCATTTGTGGGTTAAAACACTGCACCCATCTGTCCCTCCCCAGAGTCCTCTTAGTGGCTGCTCTTAGGAGGAACTAACATGGACTACATTCCCCCATCACACCCAGCACAAGTGCCCTCCCAGCCTCCCCCACCCAACTCAGTCCCATTCACACGTGGCATGCCAGGGACTCTCCCATCAGGGGAACACCCTGTAACTCCCAAGTTCCTCCAAAGCCTCTTGAGAGGGACCATGGTGCCCTGCAGGGAGTGGGTCCTGGTGGGTCCAGTGGAGGGAACGTCCTTGCTGAAACTGGCTGGGTCTTAGCCGGGAAGTGGTGACAGGTATCTCTCACATACGCTACGGGAACCCAGCGCAGCCAATGGAGTCCAATCAGCACACCTTGCGCCCACCCCTTCGTTTGGTAACTTGAGGCCACTGCCCACCCACCAGGTACCATCTCTCAAGCGTGCCCTGAAGTTCAGGGAAAGACGCCAGCGCCCCCTGCTGGTTGCGCTCTCCCATAGCAGGGCTCACATTTTGGGAGAAAGAAATCAGCTGTTAGCAGCTTTCGTTCTTCACCATGTTAAGCAAAGCACAACATTTTATAACTGGGTGAAAAGCCAGATATTCTGTCAGCTGATTTGATTGTTCTGTACGCATATCCCTAAGCCATTGTTTGACGGATATTTGTACTGAGTTGACTTTCTTCATAAGATGATAGGACTAATGAAGAGAAAAGGCAATGGAGTTTTTAAAACCAGCGTGATGAACCAAATGCTGCCACTGACTAGCTATGTACATGTAATCCAAAGGTTCCCTCCGTTGAAACAAAATAACAGTGCTTACCTAACCAGGTCAGCTGTGAGCTGGGACTTCACAGACAGGCATAGAGAGACATGGATGCAGGAAGGGCTTCCTTAGCTGAGAGGGTCGTGAAACTGGAAGGTAGTAGCAAGCATTTTCCAGTTGGATCTTTTGGCCGACATTTGTAGTGGGGAGACAAACATGTCTAATTTTCCCCCCACCCTGGCACATGGGCAGGTAGGAAGATGCTGGTGGGTTTGGTTCGACAGTTTGGAGAATGTCTTGTGGAAGGGGTGCTTTTTTTAATGCACACTCAGGCACCATGGGAGCCTGTTGTCACCCTGGATATCTAGCTCCATGCCCTTGCCCTTCCACTCTGCCTCGACAAGAATCATGGCACCCAAAATACATGAGTTCAAATCTAAGTTTCACAGGCTCAGGGATGAACCCAAGCTACCAAATGCACAGGCCCCTCCTGTATACGGTTACAGCAGGTAAGGGAGTAACTTACTCAGTGCAAGCTGCTGTAACAAAATAGCACAAGCTGGGTGGCTAATCAACAACAGGCATTTATTTCTCACAGGTCTGGAGGCTGGAAGCCCAAGATCAGGGTGCCAGTGCTGGCATGGTCGGGTTCTGGTGAGGGCCCTCTTCCAGGTCACAGACAGCTGTCTTCTCATTGCATCCTCACATGACAGAAAAGAAGTGCACAAGCTCTCTGGCCCCCTCTTACAGGCGCTAATCCCATTCACAAGGGTCCTACCGTCATGACCTCATTACCTCCCAAAGACCCCACCTCCAAATACCACCACATTGCCATTAAGCTTCAACATATGAATTTAAGGGGGAAACAAACATCCAGTCCATTGCAGATTGTCCTGATAATATGTGTGCCCAGGGCATTGCCCCCACAGCAAAGAGAGACATTGGAAGGCAAACCAATGTCAGGTTTCCTAATGTGCACGGAGTCATCCCTGGAAGAGTGAGTCCGGTGATCTTACCAGCTAATTGCATTGAGCTACCCCACCTTGGGGATCTACCTGCCAAGGAGAACAGAACACCACTGGCTTTGACACCCATCTCTCAACAATGATGGAAGAATGCTGGAAATTTACCTGCTCTGGTAGCTCTGTCTAAGTTCATCTTCCTTGTATGGACTTTCTTTTTTTATTGCTCTCAAATACTTGTATTATTAAATATCTCATTTAAAATTTCTTTAAAATACATTAAAAGTACATTTAAAGAGTACATTTTAAGAGTGCAGATGAAAACATAATGAATACATCTTTGCTTAAGAAAAAATATTTCGGACACAGCATGAACTCAGTTGCTGGTTCCAAGCCCCTCCCCTTCTCACTACACTGAACTTGGCATGCATTCTTTCTTCAGGTGTGTTTGTAATCTTACTACATATGGACATATCCCCCAGCAATATCAGGGATTGTTTTGCTTGTTCCTAGACATCATATAAATGGTATCATACCAATTATACCCTTACACTACTTAATGTTTCATTCAACATTGTTTTGGGGGACTATCCATGTTGATACATGAATTCTGTTGTGTTCATTTTTTCCTCTTGTGAAATAGTCCATCATGGAAATTGTCCCTAGTGTGTCTATCTGCACTCCTAATTGACAGGCATTTAGGCTGTTTTCCATTTTCCTAATTACAAGTTATGCTGAGTGAACATTCCTGAACATAGGTGTGAGGCTGTCTCTGGAGCACATGCCAAGGAACAGAATTCTTAGGTCGTAAGGAATGTGTACCTCCAGCCTTAGTCAATATTGCCAATTGCTGTCCTATCTGATTTTATTCATTTACGCTCCCACTAGCAGTATATATGAGTCTTTCTTTCACTTCTTGCCAACTCTTACCAATCTAATGAATGGGAAGTGGTAACTCATTATTATTTCAATTTGTATTCCCTGTATTAATCCCTGAGACCTTAACACTTGTGTATTGCACATTCTGGTTCCTCTTTGGCAAATTGCCTTGGCATTAAGATAGTAAATTTTCCTTGCCACCTACGCTGGTTGAGTCAGGATGCTTAATTACTTGGAGGTAAAAAGCAACTAGCTGAAATAGCCATCCCTGAGGCTGCCTGTTGAGGATAGGAGATGCTTCATCCATCTTTAGATCCTTTCTTGGAAACGCTGAGCCTGGCCAGCCATGCAGGCTTTTCCAAGCTCTGATGCTGCCCTGTGTCCACAATAGCATCCCCACAGCCTGGATCCATCATTCCCAGCATTATGATAGCTCCTTTGTCTCCTTGGAAGAGCCCAAAACCCACAGCTGAGGCCTCAGGGCTTTTCTAATGTGCTTAGAACAGGGGTAAAGGTAATGCCAACCAAAATGGGGAAACCTGTATTCTTGCTCAGTCACTGCTTAGTCAGCATAAATCACTCCAGAGGATAGTTTGTTACTGACCTCAAAGACTCAGTTACAAAGATGATCACCATAGCATTGTTTACAGTAGCACCAAAAAAAAGGAACCACCTAAATATCTCTAAATGTCCAACATCACCGTTTGAAAAAATAAGGAATGGTACATCCTTCCATGGAATGTACCTTAAATCCACCCAAAATCATACTGCATATGGATATACAATGTCAAGGAAACTTAGGAGTCCTAGCTTGGGGTCCATGGACGTCCAAGGAGATGCTTATCAAAGGGAGTTGGCATCCCCTGAGATGCTCATGAAAGTGCAGACTTCCGGGCCCCCCTCCAGACTGAATCTGCACTTCCAGCTTGGAGGGCAGGAATCCTAACAAGTTCCCCAGATGAGTCTCAGGCACACTAAAGCCAGAGCATCGATGCCTGGGACCCAAAATAGGGAAGAAGCACTCTGGTGTATCAAGAGGAAAAAAGCAAGTTACATACAAACGCAGTATGGGTGTGGGTGTGGGTGTATGCGTACTTTTGAAAAAAAAAATTATCGGCTGGGTGCGGTGGCCCACGTCTGTAATCCCAGCACTTTGGGAGGCCAAGGTAGGTGGATCACCTGAGGTCAGGGGTTCAAGGCCAGCCTGGCCAATATGATGAAACCCTGTCTGTACTAAAAATACAAAAATTAGCTGAGCGTGGTGGCAGGCATCTGTAATCCTAGTTACTCCAGAGGCTGAGGCAGGAGAATCGCTTGACCCCAGGAGGCGGCAGTTGCAGTGAGCCAAGATCATGCCATTGCACTCCAGCCTGGGTGACAAGAGTGAAAGTCTGTCTCAAAAAAATAAAAATAAATATATATATATATATATTTTTTTAATTTTTATTTTTTAGAGACAGGGTCTTACTGTGCCACCCAAGCTAGAATGCAGTGGCACAATCTTGTCTCACTACCCAATCTCAAACTCCTGGGCTCAAGTGATCTTCTCCACTCAGCCTCATGAGTAGCTGGGACTACAGGCATACTCCACCGCACCTGGGTTTTTTGTTTTGTGTTTTGTACAGACAGGGTCTCACTATGTTTGTGTTCCCTGGATGGTCTTAAACTCTTGGCCTCAAGCGATCCTTCTGTGTCAGCCTCCCAAAGTGTTGGGATTACAGGCGTGAGCCACCACGTCCAGCCTGTGTGTGTGTACTAATAGCTACCTAGATAACAATACTTAACAGCAGTTACCTCTAGATTACCTCAGCACCATTGACAATCAGCCCGAAGACTTTGTGGTGGGGCTGTCCTGTGTGTTGTAGGGTGTTAGCAGTATCCCTGGGTGCAGTAGTGTAACAATCAAAAATGTGTTTGGTAGCATAAAAGTACAACTATAGTTAACAACAATTTATTGTATATTTTAGAGTAACTAACATAGTGAAATTAGAATGTTCCTAACACACAAAAAAGATACATACCTGAGGGTATGAATATCTGTCACCCTGATTTGATTATTATTTATTATATGTTTATATCAAAATATCACATGTACCCTGTAAGTATGTATAAATGTTATGTATAATTTAGATTTATTTTAATTTTAATAAAAAATAAATATTTAAAAATGTCTTCAGATATTGCTAAATGTCCCCTCAAGGAACAAGGTCCCCAGTTGGAGAACCGATTCTCTAGATGGGACATGTATAGATGATGCTTTCCTTTGTTTTTTAGTATATATGCCTATTTTTTAGTTTTTTCTAAAATAAGTGTACTTTAGTCATGTTAAAAAAAAACTTTGTATTTATTACTGTCCCATTGCCTGCACTGTCTGAAAAAAATACACTCAAATGAAAAGATACATTAATACTTACAGTAAGAAAATTAATTTTATTATTATTTTAAAATAGCTGTGGAAAAACTATACAAAGGCCTCCCAAATGTCAATATTCCTTAGGCACCTTTGAAATATTTATAAACTTAATCTTTGGACTAGGCATCCTAATTGTAATTCCATATCTTAAAGAAGCAATTCTAAATATAGGAAATGCTTCACAAATATGGTTGATTTTTGCAGAGTTACCTATAAAAGCAAAAAGTTATAAACACTGTAAAACCAACCATAGGAAACTGTGTTAATTAAGGTACATTCACTTGATAGACTATCATACAGCATTAAAATGATATTTATAAAGAACTTATAACAATATGGGGGCAAGGTTTATGCCATATTGTTAAGTAGGAAAATAACTGAATACAAAATCAAATATGTTACATCACCATTCAAAGGTATAATAATGACAATAAAAAGAATCTCATCAACATGGTCGGAAGAAATACACCAAGATATTAAAAGTAATTGTTAATTGAACAATGGCATCGTAGGTGACTTTTTCTCTCTACTTTTCTGAAATATCCAAATTTTTTACAATAAACATGTATGTATTTACAGTGAAAGAGAGAACAGTGAAATTTCTTTTTAAAAATACTTGAAAATGATCACAAAAATGTGCCAACATTTCAGGTAAGAAATGTGTTTTTATATTGGTCTGTATACAAATTTCTATCCAGCTGATAAAAATAACTTCAAGAAATTAAACCTATTCAGAAACAATAGTGATTGTGTCTAAATTCATAGGCTTTGAGAAGGATAAATTTTTAAAGTGTAAATTACTATGCAGGTGGTCAGGAAAAGGTTGTATGGAGTCACATGATAAATGACACAAAGAAAATGCTTTTTATGAAAAACAAACTGGATAGATTTTTTCCCAAGCCAGAATCACATTCTTCTAAATCATTTAGAAGGCAATAAAATAATTTGGGCTTGATTAGCATTTAACTAACCAAGGACAGATTCCAGCCACCTTATGGATTTTGATCTAACTTGTTTACATTCATCAGAGGTGATGGGCAGTTCCAGCCCACAGGAAGCACAATCTTTGCAGACAAAAGGTGGCCCTTCTCATGTTTGTCAGGCAATATTTGTCCAACCTGGCCATTCCCAGTTGGCTCCAATGAACTCTTGTTAGCTCACTCCTCGGTCTCTTGTGGAACCAGACTATATCTTACAATAGACCTCAAAGAGGGAGGCAGCTGCGTGCATTCCATAGAAAATAGAAAAAGGCATGGCCAGGTTGACCACAATTATCCAGGGTTCAAAGCCAAAGACAATCTCCTCCAATCCGTTGTCATACTCAGGTCGACAGCCAAAAGCGGGAGGTATCCAAAGCTGCAAGAGAAGAGAAAATGGCCTGTGGTGGGGAGCAGCTTCCAAGCCACCATGGAGGCCCCACTCAAGTCCCAGGCCTCATGGGAGCTGACCCTGATGCACGGGGACTGAGTCACCCCTGACAGAACAATAAGGAGACCTCGTGGCATTTCCCATCTCCACAGAAACCACCAAATCCATGTCTGCCATGATCCTGCTCACTTCCTCACCCACCCTTCCCTGCAATCCATCCCTAATGAGCGCTCTTTGAACCCATCCAACTCTCTCCATCTCTACAGCCCTCGCCCAGCCTCAGTTTCCTCATTTGAAAGATGGGAATTCTAACACGTGTCTGAGAGGGCTTAGATGAGAATTAAGTTTGCAAAACTGAAAGCAGTGACTTTTGTTTGTGTTGCTCACGGAACCTACACACTGTTCCCTGCTTCTCAGGCTCTTCTCTGTCCCAGTTCTCTCCCTTTCTGCCACCCCTTGAGTTGTCAGGCTCCTCACTCCTGCTTCAGGCTGCACCCTTCTTCAGCTTCCTCCACTCCCTGGCTGTGGCAGGCAGCCTCTAGGATGACCCTCAATGATCCCCAGCTCCTGCAGTCACCCTCTTGTGGAGTCCCCACCCCTTTAGTGTGGGATGCACCTAACGACTCACTTCCAACTCACAAAATATGGCAAAAGACACAGGAAGTCACTTCTGAAATTAGGTTGCAAAAGGACCTGTTATCCCTCTTGCTCATCTTCTCCTGAAAGACAGGTGGCAGAGCTGCCATGCTGCGAAGCACCCTACGCGGCAAGGGGCCCAGGGAGTACTCCTGTCAACAGCCAGCAAGGAACTCAGACCCTCAGCCCAACAAGCCACAGCTGAATCCTGCCAACAGTCACATGAGTAGATTTGGAAACAAATCCTCTGCCACCTCTCGGAAAGTCAAGCCTTGAAATGAATGCAGCCCCAGCCAACAGTTTCAGCCTGGGAATGGCCCTGTGCAGAGATACTCAGCTAAAACTGTAGTTGGATTCATAAGTCAGAGAAACTATGAAATCATAAATGTACATTGTTTTAAGTTGCTGAGTATTGGGGTGGTCTCTTCCATAGCAATACGTAACTGAGACACATAGCCTTCATTTGTATCTCCATACAGAACACTCCCTGGTATATACAGCCGACCTCTGTATCCAGGGACCTGTGTCTGTGGATTGAACCAACCACAGATCAAAAATATTCAAAAAGTAGGCTGGGCACAGTGGTTCACACCTATAATCCCAGAACTTTGGGAGGCCGAGGCAGGTGGATCACCTGAGGTCAGGAGTTCAAGGCCAGCCTGGCCAACATGGTGAAACCCCATCTCTACTAAAAATGCAAAAAATTAGCAAGGTGTAGCGGCATGTGCCTGTAATCCCAGCTACTCAGGGGGCTGAGGCAGGAGAATCCCCTGAACCCAGGAGGCGAAGCTTGCAGTAAGCCAAGATCATGCCACTGCACTCCAGCCTGGGCAACAGTGAAGCTCGGTCTCAAAAAATAAAAATAAATTAATTAAAAAAATAAAATGGTTTGTTGTGTCTGTACTGAATAGGTACAAACTTTCTTCTTGTCATTATTCTCTGAACAATACAATGTAACAACTATTTACATAGCATTTAAATTGTATTAGGTATTCTAAGTAATCTAGAGATGTCTTAAAGTGTACGGGAGGATGGGTAGGTTACATGCAAGTATTACCCCATTTTATATATAGGACTTGAGCATCTGTGCATTTGGTATACACCACGGGGGCCCTGGAACCAAGACCCCTCTCTTCTGCTTTGCTTACTGGCTGCTGTGACTCTTAGGAGCTCTCCTACTTGTTCGGCGGGTCCCTCCCAGTCTCCTTTGCTGTTTCATCCTTTGCTCTGCCTCTTAATGTTAGCCAGCATCCAGGGCTCATTCCTGGGTCCCTTTCTATTCTCTCTACACATGAACCCTGGGGCTCTCTCCCAGTCCCTGGTTGTAAATACCAGCTATAGGCCTATGACTTCCCAGTCTCAATCTCCAGCCTGGACCACTTCCAAGAACCCCAGACTCATAGTTTCCGGTGGCAACTTGGGTGTCTAAAACACATCTCAAACTCAACCCACCTTCCCCATTTCTCCATCTGCTCAGCTACATCGTCCTCCCAGGTGGTCCATCGAGGCTCCAGGTGTCAACCTTATCTCCCTCCTACTCTCATAACCATGCCCTCTCCCATCCAGTCCCTCAGCGCATCTCCACTGTGCACCTCCAAAGCAGTATCTTCAGCCCACCTGTGGCTCTCTCTCTCCACCTGTCCAGCCGGCCTCTCTCACCTGGACCATGGCGGTGGCCCCGTGCCTGGTCTCCCAGCTCGAACTAGGGTTCCACTCGGCCACCAGATTTACATTATATGGAAATCAGATCCTGTCCCTACCTTGATTAAACCCCTAAAGTCTTCCCAAAATATTTAAAATAAATTCTACACTCCCGCACTGAGTGATAAAGTGCTCTGTTAGCTGATTTCTAACCACCCACGCTTCTCCCCACTCACCCCACCCACATTGCAGGCAACCCTTCTTCCTGTTTCTCAAACCAGACCCGCTCACTCCCACTGGGGGTTTATACCAGCCGTTGTTCCCTCTGCCCTGAACATGCGTGGCCAACCCCTTCCTGTCTCATGTCACCCTTCAGCGAGGCCTTCCCGCTAAGCTGGTCCATCTGATCTACAATGGCAGCCCAAGAGCTATTTCCCACACCCTCCTTTTCCACTTCTCTGCTTAACACGGGTACACTATAAGGTGTCTTTCTTGCTCAGTTGATGGTTTCACCTGCTGTTGCCTGGTTTGTAAGCCCCATAAGAGGAAGACCAGAGATCTTGGTCATTGCTGTACCCTCACCATTCATAGCAGTCCCTGTACCTCTGTAGGTACTTAAGGGACACCTTTTAAAAGAAGGGTGAGAGGAAGGGCAAGGGAGACAGGGAGGAAAAGGGAGAAGAAAGGAAGGCAGGAAAATGGGACCTCTTTTCTGAAATCCACATCTTTATATGTGCTGTTTAGTTGGCTGGAAATTCTTGTTACTTATCCTATTGAGAAGTGGCCTATGACCTCTTTCTTTGAATCTAGATGGACTCTGTGACTACATGACTAATAAAATATGGCAGAAATGACACCATGCAGTTTCCAAGCCCAGGCCTTAGGAGACAGGCAGCTTCCAGTTCAGTCTTTTGGAGGGTCAGCTCTGGGGCCCTCAGCCATCACGCATGGAGTCCAACCACCCTGAGACGTCATGCTGGAGACCCACCTGTGGATGCCCCAGTCAAGAGTCCTGGCTGAGCCCAGCCTCCCAGCCACCCCCACCCAAGGCATCAGACCACGAAGCTTCTGGCCAAGGCTTCACCAACTTCACTTGATGCTGTGAGGAACAGAACTGCCCATCCAAGCCCTGCCAGAATTTCTAACCCACAAAGCCATGAGTCACAATAAATGCCATGGGACAAAAACAGTCATGCATGTTGCTTTTGTCATACATTAGTGGTAGTTCATCGCACGGCAATAGAAAACCAAAATACCTGTCTACTGGGTTCGTCCATTTGGATGCCACAGAGGCACCTGAAACAGAACACGTTCATTACTTAACTCTGGTTCTTCCTTCCACACTGACCTCCACCCACTGCTCCCAAGGTTGCCCCTCCTCCAGAGTCCTCCATCTCCAACATAGTATCACCATCTCCCCAGGAACTCAAGTGTGAAGGCAGGGGTCATGTTTGGCATCTGTCACCCTTTGCGAGTTGCAACCTGGAGACCCTGGAGGGTGTTATGATGAGTGAAATAACCTAATCACAAAAGGACTAATACTCCACAAATTCACTTATATGAGGAGTCTAGGAGTCAAATTCCTAGAGACTGAAAGAACGGTGGTTGTCAGGGGCTGGGGAGAATGGGGAGTTCATATTTAATGGGGACAGAGTTTCAGTTTTGCCAGATGAGAATAACCTGGAAATGGATGGTGTGATGTTTGCACAATGTGAACGTACTTTACTCCACTATACATTTGAAAGTGAGTGCAATGGAAAAGTTTATGTGATGAGTTTTTTACCACAATTAAAAATATAACAAAATAAGCATGAGTCAGATCCCGTCACTCTCAGTGTAGACCTTTCCATGGTTTTCTGTTGCATTTAAGATTGAGTCTTGGCTCGCAGGCCCTGTGTGGTCTCCCCTCTGCCCTCTGCTCTGTGCTCCCAGGTCATGTCCAGTGAGCCCTGCCTTGCCTTGCATCCGTCCCTTCCCCACACCTGCAGCTCTGCCCTGATAGTCTCTCATCCCAGCCCCATCCACACCCTTCCTTAGAAGAGGCCTTCCCTGACCCATCTCCCACAGCACCCTGCCCTTCCCCGTCACCACAACCACCCTCTGTTGTCTCCAGTGCCACGGCTCCTGGAAATTCAACTAACATTTCCATGTCCGTCTCTGGAGTGGAGCCCACTCCACCTGGACATGCACATCAGCACCTGCAGCTGGGGCCTCTGGACTGGCTCCCGATGCTGGAGAAGACAGCTCTTGCTCTCTGCCAGATGCCTTTGGCACCACCTGGGGTCAACCACAAGGTTTCAAAGTGCCACCCCATGAGCCAGCACGGGTATCCTAAGACTCCACCCTGCGATGATTTCCATCCTCTGGTTCAACCCCCCAGAACCCAACCAGTGCCTGGGGGCATCATGGGCCAAGCACAGGGAGGAAGAGACGGAGCCCACCCTTCTCCTTGGACTGGGCCCTGGGTCTGGCTTTCGGGTCCTGACAGACCATGAATTGCCACTTGATTCTGGTATTTCAGACAGTGCTATCTTTCTTCAAGTGGGTCCAAAAATGCAAGCCAAGTATTTCACCCAGTGGTCAACCAAAAAGGCAACCAGGGAAAGACAACTTTTCAGAACTTAGTTTTAAAAAGAAATATTAGGTCAGAAGCAGTGGCTCGCGCCTGTAATCCCAGCATTTTAGGAGGCCTAGGCAGGCAGATCACCTGAGGTCAGGAGTTCGAGACCACCCTGACCAACCTAGTGAAACCCTGTCTCTACTAAAAGTAGAAAAATTAGCTGGGCATGGTTGTTGCATGCCTGTAGTCCCACCTCCTCGGGAGGCTGAGGCAGGAGAATCACTTAAACCCAGGAGGTGGAGGTTGCAGTGAGCCGAGATCGCATCATTGCACTACAGCCTGGGCAACACAGCAGGACTCCATCTCAAAATATATGTATATTAATATTAATCACAGGATATGTACAAAAAGCATATACTTGAGGAAGATTCTAGAACTAGCTCTGACTTTATAAGAATTTGCATTTTGGAATATGCACCTCAAAAAAATGCAGCTTACAGTATCTATCTCTCTTGTTAACTCTTTCAATTTTTGACTCACTGCTGTGCCCCTGACATAGTCCCTGGCATACAGCAGGTGCCTGGCAAATGTCTGTTAGATGGAGAAGAGGGTCTCCCTGCAGCCAAACTCTTCTGGGCCTTCCACCTTCAGAGCCCCTCCTCACTGCCTAGCAAACTGAAGGAACCTGGGTGATCCAAGGCTAGGGTGGATCAGGTTTGCTTGGCAGACACACAGCCATTCTGACTTTAGAAGGGACTTACTTTCCCAACTTTGTGTTCTTAGGGTGATATCAAAAGCTGCAGGCCCCATATGCACCATCTGAAATTCAGGGGAGGAAGCTCAAAAGCCTCTGAGCTGCTGGGGCAACAGGGAGCAGGCTTGATAACAGAGGCTAGTAGCACAGAGCTGACTTCACCCAGAGTGATGGGCAGGCACCTCTGTGGACTGGGGCACTCCCCTCCAGCCACCAGTCACCATCACTGCAGAGACTCATGCGGTGGCAAAGGCTGCTTCCCCCTCCTTCTTACTGACCCCCACCATCCTTCCTTTATGTGTCTTTAAAAAAATCCCAACAGCACACAATGCTTCTTATTCCTTTTTCTTCTCTCCATCCCTCCATCACTGCCCTAGTTCAAGCTCCTCCCCTTCCTGCCTGGGCTGTTGCAGGGCTTTCTCTCCCAGTCTTTCTGCTTCTGGCCCTATCTGTCTCCATCCTTGCTACACACAGCTACTGGGAGGATCATTCCAAAACACAAATCTGAGAGAGTCTTCCCTTGCCCTCAGCATAAAGACTAGACTCCAGCCAGGCCTAGGAAGCCCTGCTCAAGCCAGAGTCCACCTACCTGGGCCCTCTCTCCTATTTCCCATTCTGCTACTCTGCTTAACACACATGGAATTTATGCCAAACTACTTGGTGCTCTCAAAACATGCCATGGTGTCTTTTGCCTCTGTGTCTTCACATATTGTGTGTCTCTGCCTGAAATGCTTTTCCCCGCCTTGATAACCTGGTGAACTTCCAGTCATTCCTTGCTGATGCAGACAGATGGGTGAGTGACTGTACACCTTCCTCTCCCTTGCTACCTTCCATCAGAGAGGCTGGGAAGCAAACCGTCCACTTCCCCAGCCTCCCTTGCAGTGAGGGGTGCCCACATGAGAGACATTGTCTGGCACCAGCCCTTCCCCACTGCTTTCTGTCTTGAACCCAGATGTGATGCCTGGTGCAGCTGCAGCCATCTCATGACCATGTCGCAACAAACACCACACGACCCAAGTGACAAGATGAACAGTGCCTGGATGCCTGATGACACGGTTCAGCTGCCAGGCCAACCCCAAGCAGCCAACCTCTGGAATTCTCAGGAGATAATTAAACATTGATAAGACTGAAGACACTGTGAATCAAATTGCCTGTCACTTGCAACTAAAAGCACTCCTGATTGACACTGGGCCTCACCTCAAGCACTCACTACTCACTGAAGTCCTTCTGGATCCCTGCTCCTAGTACACCTTGCACAAGCCCATCTCAGCACTTGTCCTGTTCACTATATTAGATTTGCTCATTGTCTCCCTCCCCCATTATACTGAGACCTTTTAGAGGAAAGAGACTGAGTCTTTCCACTTTAATCTTTAGTACCTAGCCCAGCCCCTAGCACACAGCAAGTCTTCAGTAGGTAGATTTGTAGAATATAGGTCTATTTTCCAGCCTTATATTGTAATTTTATACTTACAGTATTTTTATTACAAGCTGCCTCCATTCCTTATTTTAAAAAGGCAAGAGAAACCTAGATGTCCATCAATAATGGACTGGATAAAGAAAATGTATTATGGCCGGGTACAGTGGTTCACATCTGTAATACTAGCACTTTAGGAAGCTGAGGCAGGAGGATTGTTTGAGCGCAGGAGTTCAAGACAAGCCTGGGCAGCACAGTGAGAACCTATCTCTACAAAAAAAAAAAAAAAAAGTTTTGGCCAGGCATGGTGGCTCACACCTGTAATCCTAGCATTTTGGGAGGTCAAGGTAGGTGGATCACTTGAGGTCAGGAGTCCGAAACCAGCTTGGCCAACATGGTGAAACCCCCATCTCTACTAAAAATATTTTCAAAAATTAGCCAACTGTGGTGGCAGGTGCCTGTAATCCCAGCTATTCTGGAGGCTGAGGCAAGAGAATCACTTCAACTCAGGAGGCAGAGGTTGCAGTGAGCACCATTGCACTGTAGCCTAGGCAACAAGAGTGAAACTCTGTCTCAAAAACAAAAAAAGTTTTTAAAATTAACCAGGTGTAGTGGCACATGCCTGTGGTCCCAGGTACTCAGGAGGCTGAGATGGGAGGATTGCTTGAGCACAGGAGGTCGAAGCTGCAGTGAGCTGTGATCATGCCACTGCACTCCAGCCTGGGCAATGGGGCGTGACCCTCTCTCAAAAAAAAAAAAAATAGAAAATGTGGTAGCTCTACACCATGGAATATTATGCAGCCTTAAAAAAGAATGAAATCACATTATTTGCAGCAACCTGGATAGAAATGGAGTCCTTATCCTAAGTGAATTAACACAGGAACAGAAAACCAAATACCTCATGTCCTCTCTTATAAGTGGGAGCTAATGGTAGTCATGAACACAAATATATGAACAATAGACACTACTAGGGACTACTAGGGGGAGAGGTCAGAAGTGGGGTGCAGGGTGAAAAACTACCTATCGGGTACTATGCTCATTACCTGGGTGACGGGATCATTTGTGCACCAAACCTCAGCGACACGCAATTTACCCATGTAACAAATCTGCATGCGTACCCCTTGAACCTAAAATGAAAGTTTACAGCAAAATTAAAAGAATAAGAATAACTTGGTGCAGATTACCAAAGTATTGCAGAGGAACAAGAAGGCTGCAATATTCCTCAGGACTTTTCTCTTGGCGTTGCCCTGTAAGAAACGAGGAAGGTGGACTGGGCTTGGGTTCCCTCCCCAGCTGCTCTCCTCCTGCTTCTCCTCCTTGTCACAACTTTCTCTCAGGCACACATTTCCATTGGCTGCTGGTGGCATGTCCCTGCCCCAGGGAGCCACGTCTCCGGCCACAACTCCACTCTTGAGGCAGGAGGAAGCAAGGGACATGGTGTTGCCATTGCAGACTGTGACCATCCGAAGGGTTTGGATGTCCTCAGAGAGTTTTTTAGGCTCTCGGTGAATGGATTCAAAGATGAAGAGGTTCTGGATGTACTTCTCCATGATCACCACGATGGAGTAGGGCAGGTTGTACCAGGTGTAGTGGGGGTGGTCCTCGGCACAAAGGATGGCCAAGATTGAGCCCCAGGAGATAAGCCAGGAGCCTGAGGCAGTGCCCACCAAGAGGTCCGAGTCCAGTTTGCGGGGCGGATTTTTGGACTCATCCAGTGACTTCTCATCTGTCCTGTAAATCCGGATTCCAGCCAGCCCCGCAGCCCCCATAAGCATCATCAGGGTGATGACATACAGGTAGAACGTGATGAGTGCTGACTCGCTCTTGGTCTTGGAGCACCCAATATGAATCAGGTGCACCACCCACCACCACGGCAATGGTGGCAGCCAGCGCGGTCAGGCCCAGGACTGTGCCCACCGTGACCCCATCAGGCTTGAACTGCATCTTCTGGTGCTGATGGCTGTCAACTTTGCGCCCGATGTTCTTCCATAGGACGTAGAGCACTGTGGAGGCCAGGATCTGATACTCTATGTTGAAGGGGTAGAGGTAGTAGTTATAGTAGATCCCGTGGGAGATGGTGGTGCAGAGAGTTGGGGGCGTGCAGTTACACTGCGGTGTGTGGTCATCTAAAACTAGGGGAGACAGGTTGATCACACAGAGGGGCTATTAGCAGGTGCAAGGGGAAGCAGAAAAGCACAGAAAACTGTTTCCACTGTGGATTCAGGCTTGAGTCTTCCCACTGGATTACAAGCTTTTTCATGTCATGGCTTATTATCACGTTTAATATGATGGCTAATTTGATAGCCCTGAGTATCCCCAAAGCATATTCATTACCTAAATCACATTTATTTGGTGAGTTGCCAAAGAGGATAGAGAAGATGACTCTATTGTTGTAAAAAATAGATATGTAGATGATAGATAGATAGATGGATACACACACACACAGACAGACAGAAAAAACCTGGAAGGACACAAACTAAAATGTCAACAATTGTTATCTCTGGGTGGAAAAATGACAGATGATTTTTAACCTCTTCTAGATTTTGCTTCCCTGTATTTTCTAAATTTTTTCTGTGAAGATGATTTACATGTGTGATTTTTTAAGATTATTTTTAAAAAATACTTTCTGGAGAAAATGCCCCTTTTAATTAGCAAAAGATATGCCTCTTAAGACTCCAGTGCTAGCAAGCATGCAGGAGACAGGTGCTCTCTGATATCAGTGCGGGGAAAGTAAACGGGCACCACCTTCTGGAAGAGAAGCTGGCTGTCATATGGAGGGCCCTCTCATCACAGGAGGGCAGATGCTGCAAGTAAATGACGAAACAGGTCACCAAAGCCCTGAAGGCGATGCAGTCTCTGACCCATAATTCCATTCTTTCCATTCTACCCTTCTACTCAAAGGGACAAATAAAAATGTAATCAAAGAGTCAGGTAAGGCCAGGAGTGGTGACTCAGCCCTGTAATCCCAGCACTTTGGGAGGCCAAGGCATGTGGGTCACTTGAGGTCGGGAGTTCGAGACCAGCCTGGCCAACATGGTGAAACCTCATCTCTATTAAAACTACAAAAATTAGCCAGGTGTGGTGGCAAGCCTGTAATACCAGCTACTGGGGAGGCTGAGGCAGAAGAATCGCTTGAGCCTGGGAGGCAGAGGTTGCAGTCAGCTGAGATCGCACCGCTGCACTCCAGCCTAGGTGACAGAGTGAGACTCAGTCTCAAAAAATAATTTAAAAAAAGTCAGGTAAAATTGTGTGTGTTTGTGTGTGTGTGTGTGTGAGAGAGAGAGAGAGAGACAGAGAGAGAGAGAGAGAGAGAGAGAGAGAGGAACAGCTCAAAGTCCAACAATTTAGAAATTGTTAAGTAAATTTTAGTATATCCCAACAATGAGATAGTAGACAGCCACTGCACGTTATAATTAAGATGTGCTTTATGGTTTTGGGTATGGGGGGGGGGTTTGTTTTTTGTTTGTTTTGAGACAGAGCCTCCTCTGTTGCCCAGGCTGGAGTGCTGTGGCACAATCTTGGCTCACTGCAACATCAGCCTTCTGTGCTCAAGCATCCTCCTACTTCAGCCTGCTGAGTAGCTGGGACCACAGGCCCATGCCACCACTCCCAGCTAATTTTTATATTTTTTGTAGAGACAACGTTCCGCCATGTTGGCTAGGCTGGTCTTGAACTCCTGAGCTCATGCGATCTGCCCGCCTCAGCCTCCCGAAGTTCTGGGATTAAAGGCATGAGCCACTGCACCCAGCCAGGATGTGTTTTAATATTAAGAAAGTAATCTCGTTTCAAGGAAAATGGAAAAAAGTAAGAACAAACTGTATATTTCTTTAATGCAAGTCACAACCCAGTACAAGGCTGCAAAATCAGGTAGCAACCAACTTTTTTGTAGCAGAAATAATTTTCAGTGGACTAGAATGGGATAGAATGGAGTGGAATCAACTCCGATAAAATTTGGAAGCATCTCTGATACAGTAAAATTAAGTATTATTTCATCAAGCATACACACATAAGTATGTGTGTGTTTGGATTACAGTGTAAAATCTGTCTCTTATTGAAGGTTGCAATAAAAAAAGATCAAATATATAGTATAAAATCAACTATAAATAAATGGCACACTACAAAAAAATAACCAAACATTCGCAGCACTTACTGCATTTCTGGGTAAGTGTTGTGGATTTTTTTGCTTCACACTTTGTCATTGTTTTAGTTTATGATATGTATATATTACTTACAAAATCTGAGAAAAGCAGCTGGGTGTGGTGGCTCATGCCTGTAATCCCAGCACTTTGGAAGGCCGAGGCAGGTAGATCACAAGGTCAGGAGATTGAGACCATCCTGGCTAACATGGTGAAACCCTGTCTCTACTAAAAATACAAAAAATTAGCCAGGCGTGATGGTGGGCGCCTGTAGTCCCAGCTACTCAGGAGGCTGAGGCAGGAGAAGAGTGTGACCCCCGGGAGGCAGAGCTTGCAATGATCCGAGACCATGCCACTGCACTCCAGCCTGGGCGACAAGCGAGACTCCGTCTAAAAAAAAAAAAAATCTGAGAAAAACTATATCGTAGCATTAATTTTACTTTCACAGAACACTATGAAATTTTCTTTTTCTTTTTTTATTCTTTTTTATATAGGGTCTCCCTCTGTTGCCCAGGCTGGAGTGCAGTGGCACAAACACAGCTCACTGCAGCCTTGACTTCTTGGGCTCAAGTGATCCTCCTGCATCAGTCTCCCATGTAGCTATAGCTGGGACCACGAGCCCATGCCACCATGCCTGGCTTTTTTTTTTTTTTTTCCAGAGCTGGGGTCTCCCTTTGTTGCCCAGGCTGGTCTCAAATTCCTAGGCTAAAGCAATGCTCCTGCCTTAGGATTACAAAGTGCTCAGATTACAGGTGTGAGTCACTGCCCCAGTAATAATCTTCAATTCACACAGGGCTTCCCTAGCACTTACAATTCAATACGGTGTTATGCAGAAGACAAGGGAAGAAATCAGGAGGAAAAGTTCAGAGTAACAGAATGTTACAGCTGACAGAGTCCTTTTTTAGAAAATTAATCCAACCTCATCTTTCACAGAGGGCCTTGAAGCCAGATTGTTAGGATTCAAATCATGGCTGTATCACATGTTCACTGTGTTACCCTGGGCTAACTTCTCCGTGGCTTGATGCCTTCATCCATATAATGAGGTTAATATTGTCTACCTGAGGCCAGGCGCAGTGGCTCACGCCTGTAATCCCAACAGTTTGGGAGGCCAAGGCTGGCGGATCACAAGGCCAGGAGTTGGAGACCAGCCTGGCCAACATAGTGAAACCCCGTCTCTATTAAAAATACAAAAATTAGCCAGGTATGGTGGCACGCACCTGTAGTCCCAGCTACTCAGGAAGCTGAGGCAGGAGAATCACTTGAACATGGGAGGCAGAGGTTGCAGTGAGCCGAGATCACGCTACTGTACTCCAGCTTAGGCGACAGAGTGAGACTCTGTCTCAAAACAAACAAACAAACAACAATATATATATATATATATATATATATATATATATATATACACATACATATACACACATATATAGCCTACCAGAGAGTGTGGGGGTACAAATTAAATGACATGTGTAAATTTCCAACAACAGTGGCAGGCACTCAGCAAATGCTTAATAAAAATTTACTTTTGTTATTGTTGTCATTGCTGCTACTAATATTGATACCAAAGAGGACATGAGGCCCAAACACCGAGTGCCTGCTGGTTGGGGGTGGTGACTTCATTGTCTCCACCCCACTGATGACAAAACAGGTTCAAAGTGGCTCTCCAGGACAGCCTGGGTTCACACAGCTGTCACAGACTTGCTGCATGTTAAAGCTGGAAGGGATCTTTGCAAGTGCATGATTTGGATACCCTCACTTTACAAATGAGAAAAGGGAGGCTCAGAGAGATTAAAAGTCTTCTAAAGGTCACACAGCTTGTACATGATGGGAACAAACCTGAGACACCCAGTTCCCTGCCCCACATTCCCCTCAGCCTGAATGTTCTCATATAGAAGTGACATATTGTAAATGCTAAAGGATTTTAGATGAAAATATAAAGATTAACCCAACAGGCTCTCAAATAGGAACAAGTTAGAACAGACATGAGCTAGAATTATAAGCCAACTACAGTTAAATTAAAACTTTAAATGAACCACAGCCTATTAACCACAACCTACCATTAGACTTTTATGAATTTTTAAAAGCCATACTTTTACTAGAAAGAACTGGTAATAGAGGTTTAATTAAAAACACAAGCAGAGGCAACCATCAATCTTCTGTAGTTGAAAACAAAGACATTTATTTCTGCGGCAAACTGGACCATGAGAAATGGCCATCAGAATGATCACCGTGGGTCTTACAAGTCCCTGAGTCATGGAAGAAACCTTAATTATGCTCAGTACACATCACTTATGAGAGATTCAGGTTTTGGAAGATTTTCAACAACAGGGGGCTGTCTGGCTGATGCTGACTTTGGTGGGCCTGAAGTTCTTTGGAACCTGCACTCCATCTCTGAACACTGTGGACTCTGCAGGTTTCCAAGACATTCCAACATGGCAGAGGGGCCACTCACCTCTCTCAGCACTCACCTGTTGTTATGTTCCCAAAGCCCAGAGTGATGAGCCATTCCTTGTGCTCATTGAGTTGGTGCTTTGACTCATTGAGGACGCCGTTGGCCCACAGAAGCAGGTTGGTGAACACCAAGTGGATCACCCCAAACCTGAAAAACACAAGGACTCAGTTCTCAAGCAGCCCTGGGAGAGCCTCAGGCACCATAGGGTGAGACAGACATGTGCACACAAATACACGGCTCCTTCTCAGCCATGATTCTGGCTACATCATGGATGACCCTTGAGAACGTTATGCTGTGAGAAATAAGCCAGACACAAGAAGACCAATACTGTATGGTTCAATTTATACGAGGCATCTAGAATATTCAAACTCATAAAGACAGAAAGTAGAACAGAGTTTGCCAAAAGCCAGAGGAGGAGGAAATAGAGAGTTGTTTAGTGGGCTCAGAGTTTCAGTTTTGCAAGATGAAAAACGTTTGCAGATTGGTTGTACAACAAGTGAATGTACTTAACATTAATGAACCATATGCTTAAAATGACTAAGATGGTAAATGTTATGTGATTGTCAACCTGAAAAAAAAAGACATTAGAGAAAATTATCGCTAAATATGTTGGATTTACTTGGAAATAGGAATTACAGTCCAGAATGCATGGAATGGCAAGCCACCAGCGCATTCGGTGAGGGAAGGGTAAGGAGGAGCTGTTATTAGCAAAGAGAGATTTACATAATCCACAGAGAAAAAAAGTTCATCGGTTCTAGAGGCTCAAAGCCAGAGTTGTCATCAGTTCATTGGTGGAGATGCCAGTGCTGGACAAGTGTTCTTCCAAGAGCATCTTATCTGCTTTACTGCAGTCCTAATGAATGTCTAGTAATGTCCAACCTCTTCAAAGCAGGAGATGCATGAAGGGTTTTTAGAAAGTCTTTGGAAACACTTTGTATCTCAGACACGTAGACAGAAGTGCCCTCTCCTTAGCGCTTTCCCAGGCCTATTTTGCCTGGGTCTGACAAAAGCGATTTCATCCTGATATCTACGGGTTTTTCAGTATTTGCCACAATTTTAAAATAAATGCTCTGTTTTTTAGAACAGCGCCTAATTGTTATATATACTTTTTTCCATTCGCCAGTCATCTAATGTAGCAAAAGCACATGGTAAGTGTCCAACAGGTATAGAATTATTAATTCATTGACTTGCCTGGCCAATAAAAGGCCTTAAATTAGAAAGCTAGGATCTCCAACCCACCAACTAAGAGGGATATTTTGAAAATTCATATCTGTCCCAGTCATTCTTCTGCCTAAAGCCTTCAGTGGCTCCCCACTGCCCTTGAGGTGAAGCCCAAGCCCCTAGGTGGTGGTCAGCCTTGACCAAGAATTTGCTGCACACCTAGCCCTGTGCCAAGTGCTTTTCATACACATGTGCCTTTAATCTCTACAACGAGCCCATGAAGTAGGTACTGTGATTGTCCTCACCTTGCAAGTAAGACCCATGAGGCCCAGAGAAGTTAAATAATTTTCCTGAAGTCACACAGCTGTGGTCAGAGCCAGAGTCATGCAATCTGACCAGAGTGCAAGCTTACAAGCCCTACACCAAACAGGGATCCAGCCTGTGCCCACACATCCTCCCGCTACCCCACTGTGAGGAAAGACTGCATGTCCCAAAGACACCCTCTTCCAGTGGCCTCTGACCCACTAACCCTGTGCTCCTCCCTCTCTCACAAACGGTTCTGGGACCTTCTCTGGCAGAAATTGACTCTCACCCCAAGCTGCCGAAATGCCCTCCTTTGTGCTCCCTCATTGCTCTGGGACACTCTGGTCAAAGCACTGAGCCCAGCGTTGTCACTGTTTTGGGGACTGCCTCTCACCTAACTGACACCCCCACGGTGTGTGCCACAGACTTTGCAGCCTTGTATTCCCCATGCTGAGAACAATGTTCATCCAGTATTTAAAGATGAACTGCAAGAAAAATAAATGAATGAACGAATGCAGTTCGTTCTGGCCTCACGAAAGCTTTCCACATTGTCACTGTATCACTATAAGGCTCTGTCTTCACGGGATTTGGCTCCCCTGGAATGAGCAGCCAGTTATCTTTGATCAGCTTGGGCTGCCATAACAAAGGACCACAGATCATCAACTTCAATAACAGGAATTTCTCTTCTCAGGGTCCTGGGGCTAGAAATCCAAGATCAAGGTATGGGCAGGGTTGGTTCCTTTTGAGGCCTCTCTCTTTGGCTTGTAGATGGTCAATTTCCTCCAGTGTCTTTACATGGCTGTCTCTCTGTGTGTGTCTGTGTCCTTCTCTCCTCTTGTTATAAAGACACCAGGGCCAGGCGCGGTGCCTCACGCCTGTAATCCCAATACTTTGGGAGGCCGAGGCAGGTGGATTGCCTGAGGTCAGGAGTTCGAGACCAGCCTGGCCAACATGGTGAAACCTCATCTCTACTAAAAATACAAAAATTAGCTGGGCATGGTGGCAGGTGCCTGTAATCCGAGCTACTTGGGAGACTGAGGCAGGAGAATTGCTTGAACCCAGGAGACGGAAGTTGCAGTGAGCCGAGATTATGCCATTGCACTGCAGCCTGGGCAACAAGCAAAATTCCATCTCAAAAACATAAAAAATAAAGACACTAAGCATATTGAATTTGGGCCAGCCTAATGATC